>NC_000009.12:103069036-103220552 GCF_000001405.40 Homo sapiens | reverse complement strand
ATGCTTAGACCTGGAGCTGAGAAAAGAGTCAGTTTTCTCAGGGAAGGAAGCCATACATGTTAAAATTAAGGAGTTCATGTAGGAAAAAGCCTACAATCACTAAAAATGTAGCTGATTCACAGAAAAAGCAAGACACAAGAGACTGAGAAAGACAGCAGTCTAAGATGTTGTTTTATACTTGATCAATATTTGCATCATCCAAGTCAAGTTCCAATTTAAAATTATCCTTTCCAATCCTGAATACAAAATATTCTCTCCTTTGTCCTCTAAGAGGTAGTATTACATGGTGTTTTAAGAATATAGGCATAGAAACTACACAAGCCTTGTCTTTGAAAATACAAACAGATTTCTCTGTTTATGCAAATGCCATTGTTACTCCTTGAGTGAGGGTGTGGTAAGGGGCACTTACTTGCTCAACGTATTCCCCAATGCTATCTTTGGGACACTGGGTCCTGGCTTCATCCTTGGATTGTTGAATGGGTGTGTAAGAGTCTCATGGAAACGATATCTGCTTTACCAAAGATAAAGAGTCTCATGAGATTCTTACATCTCAGACTTTTTGTTTCCAATGCTCCTTCTTCTGTTTCTGACTTTGCTTTGTTTCTTAGATTGACTCAAACATTCCCACCTATAGACACATATAAGCTAAAAAACTTTTAAAATAAGGTTCATGGGGCTAAGGAATGGAGAAGAAAAAAACCGTAGACCATTTGCTAAGCAAGATGATGCTTATGGGTGATGTTTAATATTCATAATTGAACCTGATTATCATTTCCTCTCCCATAATCCTGTATATAATCAATCCCAAAGTATCAATCAGGGTTTCTCCTTCCTAAATATTTCTCAAAGCAATCAATTTATCTCAATTTCCAAGGAACTGATTCCCTGAGGCCTGGCAATTTCTTTCTCTTGTGTTACTTTAATGGTCTCCTAACTCTTCTTGCTTCTAGCTTCTTCCCTTCCACATTCATTCCTCACACTGTAGGAAATGGGATCAAGTAATGTCTCTGCAAAAAATCCCTTTAAAGCTCTCTATTGTGTTTAGTATAAAGTAAAATTTCTTACAATTGTCAGCCTATGCTCCATCTGCTCCTTGTTTTCATCAGTAATTTCATCTTTTGACACCATTCTTAGAGTATAAATTCAGTTCCTCTAATTTGCCATATTGTCTCTGTCTCTGATATGTGTTGTCTAGACATTATCCAGCCCTACCACTACCCCATAATTCTCTTACTCATCTTCACTGCAGTTGCTAGATGACTTATACTGTGAACCCAGGAGTACATCTCTTCTTCTATTGCTGAACAATGTGACCTCAGCACTTATCACACACCATGATCCAAATAAGGCCCATGAATAATATTTGTCAAAAACATAAACCTGAATACAATTTTGATTAAGTAAGGGAAATATACATTAATAAATGAAATAGGAGCTCTAAAAGAAAATTGCTAAAACTTATCAAAGTAAAACAGTGTCTGGAAAACCATAAATCATATTAAAAACCTTTTAATAGAACAAAAGAATAAATGAATAAATTGCAGAATCATAAGCTAACTAAATTATTGTTGTCTCTTTTAAAAAAATAGTAGACTTGGTGTTGAGCACTGACTATGTTTTAAAGAGAAAACTGACAAACAGAATTTAAGTGAATTTGGCAAAATGGATATCAAGAAAATTGGAAATTATATAATAGTTTATTTTCTGTTTTCTGCAGAATAAACAAGTACTTTTTTAGTAATGTAAGATTGACCAAAAGTGGTAACTTTCAAACAAGTATTTTGACACATGAATGTGTTGGTTATCAAAGGAAGATAAAGGGATGGGGAAACAGTACTTCTCCAGACATATTACTTAAGCTGAAATGTGACTGATTTGTGCGGTATTATCTGAGAAACAACTGTTACTATTTAGAGTATTTTACTTAAATAAAAATATCCTCCAGGTGTTGCAATGTGGGTACAAGGAATTTTTTAAAAGAAGGCTGCGAATGCGGACCAAAAACTGCCTAAAGTTTAGATTAGTTCTAATTTTTAAGTAACATAGCTTTATTGAGTATCAGAATTTAGAAATGTCATTTTTATCCTTTTGTAAGCTGAGAGTGGTATGAAAATACAATGAATATGGTGGCAGATAAACTTCTCTACAGACTCACTGCAAATGACTCACAGGGTTTACACACACTGAGTGCTCTTTACAATATACTCTACAAACAGTAAACATTTGAAAAAGAAGACCTATTTGATTATATTTCTATCAGAAATAATAAACCAAAGCCAATTACTGTGGAGTTAAAAGTTTTTAAACTTGTATTTCTAGATTAAGAAATAATTGCCAGGCCAGGCACAGTGGCTCACGCCTGTAATCCCAGCACTTTGGTTGGCCAAGGTGGGCGGATCATGAGGTCAAGAGATCGAGACCATCCTGGCAAACATGGTGAAACCTCATCTCTACTAAAAATACAAAAATTAGTGGGTATGGTGGTGCATGCCTGTAATCCCAGCTACTTGGGAGGCTGAGGCAGGAGAATAACTTGAACCCGGGAGGTAGAGGTTGCAGTGAGCCGAGATCGCGCCACTGCACTCCAGCCTGGCGACAGAGTGAGACTCCATCTCAAGAAAAAAAAGAAAAGAAAAAAAATTGCCTTCTACATTCATCAGAATGAGAACAATAATCAGGAACTCATAAGGATTTTGGAAAAAGAGGCAAAACATGAAGTATTGCATGAAAAGATTTTGGAACAGGATATGGCACATAATAAGCCTGAGTACATATTAGCTAATAGTAGATGGAGTAATAATAGTAGTAGTAAAATCTAGGCATAGCTAAAAATTCATGCAATTTATATCATAAATCTAGGACTACAAATGAAAACAAAAGATAATACAGGCATTATATATTATAGTTCTTCACTAAAGAGTAAAGAAAGCAATATTTAATAGGAATCATTTTCTCAAGATGTGTTGTCAACAACACCATCATTAATGTATGATTTGTGTTTAATTTGCAATAATATGTCTTGCTTACAGATTTTACCAACTTGCTGCAATTCTTTATATTTATGTCACTTTCCATTCTTATCCAAAGCATCCCAAAATAATTTCCGTATACTATTTGAAGCATTTTGCCATTAAGCCAAAACCAATAATGCAAATCTGATTCATTCTTAAACTACTTTTAATTAAGTGGTGATTATCTTTCTTTACCTTTAATATTTTGTTTCTAAAGTGTAATACCACTCAAATGTATCAAATTCCTGGGGTTGAAATAATGAAATTTATAAACACCGGAAGTAGGAATGGAATTCAGATCATGGGCAGTATATTTTGGAAAGCCATCATAGTATAACGTTTTCCATGAGGCACGGAACTTGCACATGCTGGAACACTCTTGGAAAGTCTGAGAAAGTGAGATACAGCATGCATGTACACATCTAACGTAAGCTAAGATAATCATATTTTTCCTTGAAGACTTTAATAAAGCAAAAGAAAATCAGGAGCAAAAAGAAACAGAAACAGTTTAGAATTCATTCTTCTGTTTCTAACAGTAACATTTCAGTAAGTGAGATGTAAGTAGTGTCCAGTGGTGGTGACAGGAGCTACATAGCCACGTTGTTACTATGTACCAGAGTAATCAAATCCAGACATCTTGGTGGAAATGGAGGAGCAATTACATAACACACACAAAAAATAAAAAATTAGAAGAATTTTTTTCATCTATATACATGAAATATATTGAGAATAGGGAATAGAATCTGATGATGCTCGACCATGAATTCAGTTGCTTAGATACCCTGGATTTTTGCTACTTTTCTGAGACAAATTTTCTAGCTTTTTTTCTCTGTAAGACACCTCATAGCTTTCTAACAAATACCATTTTTATTAAAGTTAGCCAGAATTGGTTGATATTACTTCAATTCAAGATTTGGCTATTACAGATAATGGTATCTAGATATAGAGAATTTGGGTAGATTTGCTATCTGGCCATATTAATAGTTACAGGGAGCACAAATGTAATGATCAGGGTTTGAATAAAAGGACAGTCATAATATAGAGTAGAACAATAACCAAATAATCATGTACACTTTTCTGGAAATACTTGCCCAATAAAAATACGTGGTGGAGGATAGAATTGCCTATTTCATAAAAGAGTATGAAGGCAGAAGAAATGCAAGAGTGAGATAGCTGCCAAGATTGAATATAGATAGCTTAAAAAAAGAAATGACCAGTTCAAACAATTAATCACTGGAAGCATGAAACAAATGCTTCACAGGCTTTCCATTTCTATCCCAGTTCATCTCTCATGCTCTAATGTTACAATTTGAAGTTACTGAAAACCTAATGTGAAGTTTTATTCTTCAGATTTTTGAATTAAAGTTTTATTTATTTTACAACCTCGCTTAGGACTTGTTTGTAAAATTTAGGGTCCTGATTGCATAAGTGTTGGATTACAAGAAATGGATACGTGATAGAGATTTTTGTATATGTCAAAATCTTTCCAATCTTACTGAGAGTACTTACTAAAGAAAGTGTTATTTTCTCCTTGAGGATGAGACTAGGTTGCTCTTTATTAAATAAGTAGTAATGTCCTAAATGCAGGAAACTATAAGGGAAGTAAAGCAAATTCTTCTCTTGTTTTGGTGTCACACTTGTTTCTTGTCTCTGCAATTTTATCTAGAATCAAATCCAGACATCTTGGTGGAAAGGGAGGAGCAATTACATAACACACACAAAAAATAAAAAATTAGAAGAATTTTTTGTCATCTATATACATGAAATATATTGAGAATAGAGCATAGAATCTGATGATGCTTGACCAAGAGAAGGATAACATTTTGGATCAAATTGAATTTATTAGTGCAAGTATACTTACCAGAATTTCTGGATTTGTTTTTCTAATTCTAGCAGTGCGGCATTGTTCAAATGTTTGTATATATGTGGGTCTAAAATTGGACTCAGCAATAAATAAAGGTGAGATACCAAATTTTTCTTAATTTTATATACAAAAATGAATCCAATGGAAATAGAAATGATGCAGTGGACTTTAAATATGTGACTCATCTGCTACCCTGCTCATCTAGCAGAGCCCATAAATAATTCCTTAATCAGTGTCTTAGAGAAATATATTGGTATGTAGGAGGTCCCCACAACCATGCCCAGACTCAGTGAATTAACAGGAGGATTCACAGCATTCAGCATGGAGTTGTACACATGGCTATGATGTATTACAGCCAAAGGATACACAGCAAAACAGCAAAAGGAAAATGTGCATGTGGGAAAGTCCAGTGGAAGCCTAGTGCAAGCTTCCAAGAGTTTTCTCCCGGTGGTCACACAGGACATGTTTAATTCTTCCAGCAGGGAGTTGTGACAACATGTGTGAAATTCTGTTTACTGAGGATGCTTAGTAGAAACTCAGTGCCCAGGGTTTTGGCTAGAGGCTAGTCATGTAGGCATTCTCTGCCTAGCATGTATCAAAATTCTATAATCCCAGAAGTGAAACAGGTGTTCAGCAGAAACCATATTGTTAGTATAAACCATCTAGGCATAGTCAGTCATTTTTATCAGTTCTGGGAATGGTAAGAACCCTCCCCAAATATTAAGTCCACAGAAGCCAACCAAATGCCAATTGTATAATTAGGACTTTTCAAAGGATAACAGTCTCGGGTTTGTTATGTTAACTTTTATCTGCTGAATTAGTGAGAGAATAAAATGCTTAAATGATTTTGCTCTGTAAGTCTGCCTTTTGATATGAGATTATGTAGGTGAAAAAAGATCCTTTATTTTAAATGAAGATGAAAGAATTGTAGGGTGTCAGATACTAAGTAGAGGCATTAAGTCCTTACACTAGTTCAGAGGCCAAAATTGCATGGTTTACCTTAATAAGAAAAAGGATAAATAGAGTAAACAAAATAGTTTGACTGCAGTGGATCTTTGTTCACGGAAATTGTTCATGTTGTTTTTAGGAGTAAATGAGATGAAAAGACAAAAATGTTGCTACTTGGCCGGGCGCAGTGGCTCACGCCTGTAATCCCAGCACTTTGGTATCCTGAGGAGGGTGGATCACAAGGTCAAGAGATCTAGACCATTCTGGCCAACATGGTGAAACCCCATCTCTACTAAAAGTACAAAAATTAGCTGGGCATGGTGGCGCTTGCCTGTAGTCCCAGCTACTCAGGAGGCTGAGGCAGGAGAATTGCTTGAACCCGGGAGGCGGAGGTTGCGGTGAGCTGAGATGCACCACTGCATTCCAGCCTGGTGACAGAGCAAGACTCTGTCTCAAAAAAAAAAAAAAAAGTTGCTACTTAGAATGCATAAACAAAAACAAATAGACAAATAAGCAAACAGGAGAAAGAATTCTGTTCCAGTGAATCTGTTTACTTCATCTAACCATCAAAATAGAGACTTACAAACCTTCACCTAGTTATTAATTCAAGGCACCAAGTATCTGTGAATGAAGGGGGATTGGATTCACTTGAAGAAAGATATTGTAATCAAATCATATATATTTTCTTTTTTTATTATACTTTAAGTTTTAGGGTACATGTGCACAACGTGCAGGTTTGTTACATATATATACAAGTTCCATGCTGATGTGCTGCACCCATTAACTCTTCATTTAACACTAGGTATATCTCCTGATGCTATCCCTCCCCGCTCCCCCCACCTGAAAACAGGCCCCGGTGTGTGATGTTCCCCTTCCTGTGTCCATGTGTTCTCATTGTTCAATTCCCACCTATGAGTGAGAACATGTGGTGTTTGGTTTTTTGTCCTTGCGATAGTTTACTGAGAATGATGGTTTCCAGCTTCATCCATGTCCCTACAAAGGACATGAACTCATCATTTTTTATGGCTGCATAGTATTCCATGGTGTATATGTGCCACATTTTCTTAATCCAGTCTATCATTGTTGGACATTTGGGTTGGTTCCAAGTCTTTGCTATTGTGAATAGTGCCGCAATAAACATATGTGTGCATGTGTCATTATAGCAGCATGATTTATAATCTTTTGGGTATATACCCAGTGATGGGATGGCTGAGTCAAATGGTATTTCTAAGTTCTAGATCCCTGAGGAATCGCCACACTGACTTCCACAATGGTTGAACTAGTTTACAGTCCCACCAACACTGTAAAAGTGTTCCTATTTCTCCACATCCTCTCCAGCACCTGTTGTTTCCTGACTTTTTAATGATCGCCATTCTAACTGATGTGAGATGGTATCTCATTGTGGTTTTGATTTGCATTTCTCTGATGGCCAGTGATGATGAGCATTTTTTCATGTGTTTTTTTGGCTGCATAAATGTCTTCTTTTGAGAAGTGTCTGTTCATATCCTTCACTGACGTTTTGATGGGGTTGTTTGTTTTTTTCTTGTAAGTCTGTTGGAGTTCATTGTGGATTCTGGATATTAGCCCTTTGTCAGATGAGTAGATTGCAAAAATTTTCTCCCATTCTGTAGGTTGCCTGTTCACTCTGATGGTAGTTTCTTTTGCTGTGCAGAAGCTCTTTAGTTTAATCAGATCCCATTTGTCAATTTTGGCTTTGGTTGCCATTGCTTTTGGTGTTTTAGACATGAAGTCCTTGCCCATGCCTATGTCATGAAAGGTAATGCCTAGGTTTTCTTCTAGGGTTTTTATGGTTTTAGGTCTAACATTTAAGTCTTTAATCCATCTTGAATTAATTTGGAGCAAGATAAGAGAGTCATAGAAAGTATATATAAATGAAAAATTAATTCATATATACTTTCTATGACTCTCTTACCTTGCTCCAAAGTGACTTGTACCTATTCATCCAAGTAACAGTGTGCAGCATAAAGGAAAATATGAAGATTACTTTGCATAATATTGGATATGTGCTGTGGCAGATTGTAATTGTAACATCCCTGACCCACCAGGAATTGTGGAAGAGGCTTATGATGGGTAAACTTACAGCATTTCTAAGTGAATACTAGAGATACACCTTCTCAGCTAAATACACATTTATACCTGCATTCTTATCGTGGGGGATCTCATGATTGTAAGAAAGACCAAATGGAATCTTCTAGAGTCTATGCTGAATCAAAACCAAAACTACATTGTTCTGAGACTCACACATCAGAAAACTGGAGATTTTCAGAAATGATGATTCCTATTACATTCTCACTTAACTCTTCAGTTTGACTAAGACAAGGAAATACACAGCTTTATCATGAACTTAATTAGGTGGTTTTCCAATTGCAACTACTATCCCAAATATGTTTTCCTTATTGAATCTAATTAATACAGCCCCTAATGTTGTGGGAAGTCAGGGACCCAGAACGGAGGGACCGGCTGAAGCCATGGCAGAAGAACATGAATTGTGAAGATTTCATAGACATTTATTAGTTCCCAGAATTGATACTTTTATAATTTATTATGCTTGTCTTTACTGCAATCTCTGAACATTAACTGTGAAGATTTAATTGACACTTATCACTTCCCCAATCAATACTTCTGATTTCCTATGCCTGTTTTTACTTTAGTCTCTTAATCCTGCCATCTTTGTAAGCTGAGGATGAATGTCGCCTCAGGACCCTGTGATAATTGCGTTAACTGCACAAATTGTTTAAACAATACGAAATCTGGGCACCTTGAAAAAAGAACAGGATAACAGCAATGTTCAGGGAACAAAGGAGATAACCTTAAACTCTGGCTGCCTGTAGGCCAGGTGGAACAGAGCCATATTTCTCTTCTTTCAAAAGCAAATAGGAGAAATATTGCTGAATTCTTTTTCTCAGCAAGGAACATCCCTGAGAAAGAGAATGCCTCCTTAAGGAGAGGCCTCTGAAATGGCCACTTTGGGGATGGCTGTCTTTTATGGCTATAGATAAGGGATGAAATAAGTCTTGGTCTCCTGCAGTGCTCCCAGGCTTATTAGGACAAGGAAATTCCCCCCTAATAAATTTTGGTCAGACCGGTTGTTTGCTCTCAAACCCTGTCTCCTGATAAGATGTTATCAATAACAATGCATGCCCAAAACTTCATTAGCAATTTTAATTGGTCCTGTGATCCTGTGATCTCGCCCTGCCTCCATTTGCCTTGTGATATTTTATTACCTTGTGAAGCACGTGATCTCTGTGACCCACACCCTATTCGTACACTCCCTACCCTTTTGAAAATCACCAATAAAAACTTGCTGGTTTTGTGGCTTGGGGGGCATCACGGAACCTGCCAACATGTGATGTCTCCCCTGGACACCCAGCTTTAAAATTTCTCTCTTTTGTACTCTGTCCCTTTATTTCTCAGACCAGCTGACACTTAGGGAAAATAGAAAAGAGCCTACGTGAAATATTGGGGGTGAATTTCCCCCAATACCCTAGCATCTGGTATGCTGTTATTGATCTAAAGATGATATAGTTTGATTTATGTCCCCGACCAAATCTCATGTCAAGTTGGAGGAGGGGTCTGGTGGGAGGGGATTGAATCATGGGGTAGATATCCCCCTTGCTGTTCTTGTGGTAGTGAGTTCCCATGAGATCTGATGGTTTAAAAGTGTGTGGCACTTCCCCCTTTGTTCTCTTTCTCTCTTCTGCCACCATGTGAAGAAGGTCCTTGCTTCCCCTTTGCCTTTAGCCATGATTGTAAGTTTGCTGCAGCCTCCCAGTCCTGCTTCCTGTTAAGTTTGCAGAACTGTGAGTCAAATAAGCCCATTTTCTTCATAAATTACCCAGTCTCAGGTAGTTCTTTATAGAAGTGTGAGAACAGACTAATACAGAAAATTGGTACCAGGAGTGGGGTGCTGCTCAAATGATACCTCAAAATGTGGAAGAGACTTTGGAACTGGATAACGGAGAGAGGTTGAAAGTTTGGAAGACTCCGAAGAAGACAGGAAGATGTGGGAAAGATTGAAATTTCCTAAAGACTTGTTGAATGGCTTTGACCAAAATGCCGATAGTGATATGGACAGTGAAATCTAGGCTAAGGTGGTCTCAGATGGAGATGAGGAACTTCTTGGCAACTGGAGTAAAAATGACTCTTGGTATGCTTTGGCAAAGAGACTGGCAGCATTTTGCCCCGGCCCTAGAGGTCTGTGGAACTTTGAACTTGGGAGAGATGATTTACAGTATCCTGTGGAAGATATTTCTAAGCAGCAAAACATTTGAGAGGTGACAGAGCATAAAAATTTGGAAAATTTGAACCTGACCATTCAGTAGAAAAGAAAAACCCATTTTCAGGGGAGAAATTCAAGCTGGCTGCAGAAATTTACATAGGTAATAAGGAACTGAATGTTAATAGCCAAGATAATGTGGAAAAACATCTCCAGGGCATGTCAGACACCTTCATGGCCAGCCCCTCCCATTATAGGTCTGGAGGCCTAGGGAAGAAAATGGTTTCATGGGCTGGGCCTGGGGCCCTGCTGCTCTGTGTAGCCTAGGGGGATGGCACCTTGTGTCCCAGCTACTCCAGCTCCAGCTGTGGCTAAAAGGGATTGAGGTACACCTCAGGCTGTTCTTTCAGATGGTGCAAACCCCAAGCCTTGGTGGCTTCTATTTGATATTGGGCCTTTGGGCATGTAGAATGCAAGAATTGAGGTTTAGGAACCTCTGCCTAGATTTCAGAGGATGTATGGAAACAGCTGGATGTCCAGGCAGAAGTCTGCTGCATGAGCAGAGCCATCATGGAGAACCTCTGCTAGGACAGCATGGAGGAAAAATATGGGGTTGGAACCCCCACACAGAGTCCCCACTGGGGCACTGCCTAGTGGAGCTGTGAGAAGAGGGCCACCATTTTCCAAACCCCAGAATGGTAGATTTACCAACAGGTTGCACCGTGTGCTTGGAAAGGCTGCAGACACTCAATGCCAGTCTGTGAGAGCAGTCCTGGGGGCTGTACCCTACAGTGCTACAGAGGCAGAGCTGTCTAAGGTCTTGGGAGCCCACCTCTAGTTTCAGCATGCACTGGATGTGATGTATGGAGTCAAAGGAGATTATTTTGGAGCTTTAAGATGTAACGACTGATCTGCTGGGTTTTGGACTTGAATGGGGGCTGTAGCCGCTTTGTTTTATCCATTTCTACCATTTGGAATTGAAGCATTTACTCAGTGCCTGTGCCTCCATTGTATTTTAAAAATAACTCATTTGTTTTTGATTTTACAGACTCATACGCAGAAGGGACTTATGTTTTCTCAGATGAGACATTGGATTGTGAACTTTTGAGTTAATGCTGAATGAGTTAAGATGGGAGGACTGTTGAAAAGGGATAATTGTATTTTGCAATGTGAGAAGGACATGAGATTTCAGAGGGACCTGGGACAGAATGATATGGTTTGGATTTATGTCCCCGCCCAAATCTCATGTGGAATTGAAGGAGAGGTCTAGTGGGAGTTGACTGGATAGTGGGGGCAGATTTCCTCCTTGCCGTTCTTATGATTGTGAGTGAGTTCCCATGATATCTGATGGTTTAAACGTGTGTGGCACTTCCCCCTTCTCTCTGTCTCCCCTGCTCCACCATAGTAAGACATGCTTGCTTCCCCTTTGCCCTCTGCCATTATTTTAAGTTTCCTGAGGCCTTCCAGTCATGCTTCTTGTAAAGCCTGTGAACTATGAGTCAATTAAACTTATTTTCTTCATAAATTACTGGGTTCATAAAAACCCAGTTTCACATAGTTCTCTATAGCAGTGCAAGGACAGACTAACACAAAAGATATTTTTTTAACCCCCTACAATAAGCAGCAAACATAAAAAGCATTCTGTTATCACCTGGCAATGTCAGAAGCTCATCATGGTATTTCCTATTTTAAACCACCATGTAGTTTTAAAAAATTTGGAAAAACAGGAAGTAGAGCATACTTCCATTACTGATTTTGTTAAGAAAAATTGTTATTCAAGAATGTGTGACAAAGACCCCACACCAACAAGCCCAGTGATTTGTCCCATATTGAGACATTCCCTTTAAACATATAGACAGGTGTATCATAGAACCAACTTCACTAAGATGTTAATAAAATTTTCAATGTAATTCAAATTACATTTGAGTGTGCTACTCCAATTCACTTAGTTGTTGTTGAAAGTGTTTTACATGTAAGTCCTTTACCTAACCTTTAGATTTCAGTTGGAGCAATTTGATAATCAGCCTTGTGATGCAGTGGATCTAATGCTGCTCAGAATTTCTGTAATTAAACCATGGCAAGACCTAACGGAGTAATCATTTTAACAGCTCTGGTTTCTTTCTTTCATTTGTTATTCCCTTTTTAAGAAGCAGTACTTCTTTTAAGAAGGGCCCTTCATCTGTTACTAGGTTACTAGATCCTATTGGATAATATCTTTACACTTAGCCTTAGAGGCAGGTGTGTCCTGCTGCACTATATCATCAAGTGAATACACTTTATAAGAATTCAGACCCAAGAATATCCTGAAAGCACAAATTATTTGCAAATAAAGGTTCTCACATCCCCAATACTTTGGTTTCACTTCTGTGTCCTGAACTCACCCTTAGGAATTTATGTAAAGCATCTTAAGAATAATTGAATGAGGTAGAAAATATGAGTCTGACTTACAAATATATATATCACCTTTACTGATATTGACAGCCAAAAGTTTATTGCTGTGCCATTAACACCCCATTAAGAAGCGTCCTGAACACCTACAGGAAAGTCCTCTTATTAAGAAAAATAAGAAGTACAGCTTATCGCCCCTTTTCCAGGAGGATGAAATGGTTTGAGATAAGAATCTTTAGGAATGCATGAGCAATGGACAAGTCTTTAGTATTATGATCAGATATCTGAGAGGAACAAGACTGGAATAATGGTGATAAATATGTTTTAAGAAGTGTATAGATGGACCTCAGAAAAATTGTAACATATATGCCTCATATATATATTCACGAAATAGCCCACGATGGGGGAAGTTCTTAATGGCAGATGGGAAAAAAACACCTGTTCATATGAATATCAGTAATCTCTTAATTAGTTAAAACTAGGTTTTGCTACATAAAACATACAATGAGAAAAATAAAACAGCAACTTAAAAAATACATTTTTTTTTTCTCTAACAGAAAACACCTTGCAATGTAGTCTATGGCTGTTATGGTATAGCTTCATGTTCATGAGTGAACTAGTTTCTTTCTATTATCTGATTAACATTCTTTCCACTTTCGAGGTCAACTGATGGTCCAGAATATTGCTGGAGCTCCAGCCATCATTTCTGAATGCCAAGAAACAGAAATGGGGAAAAGCTTGACTGCAAAAGGATCCTCTTATCAGCTAAGCCAGCTTACTTTCCACAGATGTCTTGGAAATCTTTCACAACACTTTTATTTTTGTCTCAGTGACCAGCTCTTGCCATGTGGTCACACCTGGATGAAGGACAAAGAAGTACAGCCTTTTGGCTAGGCACATTTCTGCTCTGAATAAAATTTGGACTAAAGAAGAGAAAGCAAATGTATATTTACTTTTGTGAAATACTTTTGGAAAGTAGTAGTCCTGCCACAACCTTTTTTAATTCACCATATCTGTGCTTGTCATTACAAAAAGGAGCTATTTTGACGGAAAGCTAGTATAGGATCAACAATATGGATATTGCCACTGCAAAGCTTGCCTGGTTTCAATTACAGCTGAATGTCTTACAGCAATTTGCAAGAATAGGGTTATATCAGTGATAAGATATACGCCCTTATTCAGCTATTAATATGTGGTTTGTTTCTCCATTAGCCAGAATACTCATGCCTGGGAATCTTGGTGTAGAAGACTGGGATGACATCTGTTTCTATCAAACCCAATCGTCTATACATAAGAAATTTCCAGCCAACAGTTTTTAATTTATTCATTTGGACAAAATGGATAAATGATTCCACCAGGGGATACAAAAATGATTTCTTCTGAATTGGAGATTTTTTTTCTACATATTAAGCTTTTTATGTGGCCAGGCTATACAGAGGCCTAGGAAAGAGCATGGATGGAACAAAGCAGATCATTCCAAGGTTTCAATCTCCTATTTCTACAACAGCCAGGGGTAAAATGCTGATAGAAACTACTAACGCTATTTTTTTTTTTTTGACGGTAGTTTCCCAATTTTATTGTAAGTGGTTTTAAGTTAAGTCTCATCCAAACAAGTTATCACACAGCACTTAACCAAGCCCTGGGATTTACTGACTTGATGACTACATGGCTTTGCAGTCTGAGATGCTTCAGTGTGCAAGGCAGCAGCTGGGGGGGAGGAGGGGGGTCTTCACAGGGACAGCTGGCAAGAGACTTCCCGAGGCACATCAGTTACGTTGGTCAATTTAGGGCACGGTCTGGTTCTGCAGCTTTGAAAGGTGGATTCTTTCTATTAGCACACTTTACAAGAGGGATTGTAAAGGATTAACTCAGTCACCAGAAACGAAACACCATTTCAGAAATTCAGAGACCTCTGATCAACAGAACAGACATTTGGGCTTTAATTGCTAAAGCAGCTACCTACTTGGGGAAACCATGGCATTCTGCTGCCTGGACAGCAGGAATTAAGAGAGATTTCAGAGTTGCTGGCACGAGGACAAAGCCTTTCAGCTCGCTTCACCTTGGCAACCTTAAACAGTCCCTCCTTGGTCTCCATGATAGCAGTATGTTCCTTTGGATAGAATACTTGGTTTGGAAGGATTGTAGTCAAATGTAGGATATGTAAGTACTCCTCAACAGTCACAATCCATCCTAGTATTTAAATAGTGATTTTTTTTTTTTTTAATTTACAAAAGAGGTTTATTGGACTTACAGTTCCACGTGGCTGGGAAGGCCTCACAATCATGGAGGAAGGTGAAAGCCACATCTCACATGGCAGCAGATAAGAGAAAAAAAAGTAGTGATCTTTTAGTAAAGAAACCTGAGACTGGTAGTGGGCTTGGAGCCAGAGGATCACTTAAGTCCGGGAGTTCGAGACCAGCCAGGGTAACAAATTGAGACCCCCCCCGCCCCGCCGCCAACTTTAAAATTAAAAAACGAAAGAAAAAATAGCTGGGTGTGGTGGCTCACACCTGTAATCCTAGCACTTTGGGAGGCCAAGGCGGGTGGATTGCCTGAGCTCAGGAGTTTGAGACCAACCTGGGCAACATGGTTGAAACCCTGTCTCTACTAAAACATAAAAAATCAGCCAGGTGTGGTAGCGTGCACCTGTAGTCCCAGTTACTTGGGAGGCTGCGGCACAAGAATTGCTTGAACCTGGGAGGTAGAGGTTGCAGAGATCATGCCACTGCACTACCAGCCTGGGTGACAGAGCAAGACTGTCTCAAAAACAACAACAACAACAACAACAAAAAAAAACAAAAAAACCTTTCAAAAAAATGAAAAAAATTTAAATTTAAATTAAAAAAAAAATGCTGGGTCTGATGGCTCACGCCTGTAATCTCAGCACTTTGGGAAGCTGAGGCAGGCAGATCACAAGGTCAGGAGATAGAGACCATCCTGGCCAACATGGTGAAACCCAGTCTCTACTAAAGAAGGTACGCGCCTGTAGTCCCAGCACTCAGGAGGCTGAGCCAGGAGAATTGCTTGAGCCCGGGAGGTGGAGGTTGCAGTGAGCCAAGATTGTACCACTTCACTCCAGCCTGCCGTGTGGCTGGAAGACATGGCCGCTCCCGTCGGTGTTGAGCACGGAGAGCAGTCTCAGGCCTTTAGTGATGATGATTAAAGGTGTTGGCTGTGGCCTTGAAAACAGTCATGTGAAAACTCATCACCTTAAGGTGTTAAGTGTAAGGATCTTCATGATGAAATTTCTGTAAATGGTGCAGTCAGCCTCAGTTTCCAAAGCCGGAAAAGGATCCTCTAGTAGCCACGGTGTGGCAGCTGCTCTGAACCAGGACCTGGACCCGGACCCAAAGTGCCATGTCTTTAATGTGTGTTAGCTCCCAGCGATGCCAGATGGGATCAGCACAGCCCTGCCTCTGCTGCTAATTGTTCCTCTAAAGTAATCGCCATGCGTTCTTTGGGCTTCACCTTTAAAGGAATGAAGCAACTGAGATTATTCTGGAAAACCTTTTGGCAGTTAGTGAAATTAGAGTACAACTAAGAACATTTTCAGACCTCCACTGTGGATGACCTGGGTATAATCTCACAAATCGATGGGACTGCAAGGATTGTAAACTGAAATGAACATGATTATACTCTGTTGGAAGAGCCTAAGAGGAAACTGATGCCATGAGTTTCAGAGAGTAATGCTTAACCCCAGTTACACAGGATGCCATCTTGTGTTTCCTCTTGTTTAGTTACCCACTACAGTGATTTTGTGATCTGCTAATGGTTGCCACCCACAACCATTGCTTTAGCACTTTTACTTCAAATCAATGAAGGATTGATAAAAGTTCTCCTGGTGTCTCCTCAGAGTGGCTTCCAGGAACAGATCTTTGCATAGAATATCAGTGGTTTCCTTTTTTGTTTCAAATAGTGGTCAGAAAATACCCAGTGTTGACTCACCAAGGCAATCAGCTTCCTTTTTCCCTTTTTTTTTACATTTTATATTTTTGCTTTACTAACGCTATTTTAAATTATAGGGACAAAAAGTTCTGAGGTCACACAGGAATTAAGATTTGGCATAACCATATGGTAGGCAGAATAATGACACCCGGAGATGTCCACATTCGAATTTGCAGAACCTGGGTGATTACGTTATCTTACACGGCGAAAGAGAACTTCAGTTGTGATCGATGTAAGGATCTTGAAATGGAAAAGTATCCTGGATTGACCAGGTATTTCTAATGTAATCACACAGGCCTTGATAAGTGGGAGGAAGGAAGGTCAGAGTTAGGGTTAGATTTGAAGATGTTATGCAGCTGCCTTTAAAGTTGAGGAAAGGGATCACAGGCCAATGAATTCAGGAATCCTCTAGAATATGGAAATCACAAGGAAATGGATTATCTCCTACTGCTTTCCAAAGAAATTCAGGCCTGCAAACAGCTTGATTTTATCCCAGTAATACATATTTCAGACTTACGACCTCTAGAATTATGAAGTAATACCATTGTGTTGTTTTCAACCACTAAATTTGTAGTAATTTGTTATAGCAGCAACAGAAAATTAATACACACTACCAGGTCAAAAATTCTAAAACTGGTGTTAGCTGAAAGCAAAGGAAATGTGAAATGCTAGTGGGAAAGAGAAGTATAAAATATTAATTACACCTCTGTGAACAGTGTAGAAATGAAGACTACAGCCTCTACGTAGCTTTCTTTCCATGCTGAGTCATGCCTTTCTTTCTTTTAACTAATTTCACTTTTAGTTTCCTTTTATTTTGCTTATCTATGAAGTAGGGGACTTCTGTGGTGGTGAGCCTTTTTTTGTTTATATGGTTGTGGGATATGGAAACAGATTAGTGACAAAACATGAAGGGGAATTTGCTTCACTTGGAGATCTTGTCTTTGAACCAGTTGATGCACCAACTGATGAGATTTCGGTGAGCTCTTTCTGGAATGAAGATGAGTCAATTTTCTGTTATTTTAAAAATGGTTGGCCGGGCGCGGTGGTTCACGCCTGTAATCCCAGCACTCTGGGAGGCCGAGGTGGGCAGAGCATGAGGTCAGGAGATTGAGACCATTCTGGCTAACACGGTGAAACCCTGCCTTTATGAAAAATACAAAAAAAATTAGCCGGGAGTCATGGCGGGCGCCTGTAGTCCCAGCTACTCGGGAGGCTGAGGCAGGAGAATGGCGTGAACCCGGGAGGCGGAGCTTGCAGTGAGTGAGCCGAGATCACGCCACTGCACTCCAGCCTGGGAGACCGAGCAAGACTCCGTCTCAAAAAGCAAAACAAAAGAAAAAAAAAATGGTTACATTATGTTGACTAAGAACAAGTGATTAAATCAATAGAGCCAAGTAACCCTACTCCTTAGTAAATAGGAAACAGACAAGTAAATTAACTTGATCAATCTGATGCTTCATTTGGAATTTGGGATTTGGAGTTAATGACACAAAGGAACAAGGATCCTTTAGAGTTCATTCATGGTGAAGAAGATAACACTATCAAGAGCAATATCCAGCCTCTTTTGTCAGTAGTATCTTAACCAGACTGTGTCCATGATATTGACTGTGTCACCAGCACCAGACCTTCCCTTAGATATTTGTGCTTATGTCAATTTTGTTTCTTCAATCTTTCCATAGATGCTGTGAATTCTCTGGCATCCTTACAATAAAATGTCTTTTGCTTAAATTATACATGGGGAGATTTACATGGAGAGAATCAAGTTTAATTTAAAGAACATGATGATATGCTTTAAAATTACTAGAAGGTAGTATTTTGCCCTGGGTCAGTAAACTTTTGGTCATTTCCAAAAGCTTACCATGGTTTCAGTGAAGTATGCCGTATTATATCTTAGATTCTTTTGCTCTAACCCTATGCATTTTAGACCAATGGCATAGTTAGATCATCTATAAAGATGGTTTATAAAGAGGAATCTATAAAGATCCCTAAAAGTAGAAAAATGACCTATAAAGAAGAATCTATAAAGGTTCCTAAAAGTAGAAAAGTGATCTCCTCAGATAAATAGCACAATTAATAGACATAACCATCATAATTTATATAACACCAGCATTTTGATGCATTCTTCTGGGTTTTGCATATTTATATGTTAGGTATATTTGACCAAATAACATTGTTCAGCTTTAGAGCTGCTGAAAGCAGTCAGTTTTTATGAAAGCAGGACCAATAACCAGATTTAGGCTATGCTAGTTCAGCAAGATAATGGCATCCTGGAAGGTATTTAGATAGTCAGCCTATTTTTTTTTTTTTTGTCTAGTCTGAATATTTCTTTACAAATTTTAAGAATAGGAAAAAGAAAAATATGTAGCATTTTTATTTCTGAGGTCATGATGGTCTAAAGTGCTGCAGAACTCCATCTATCTGTAGACCAGCAGTTTTCAAATTTTTGGTTTCAGGATATTTTTATACTCTTAAATTGTTGAAGACCTCAAGAGCTTTTGTTTATGTTAGTCATAGCTAATAATATTTACTATACTAGAAACTGAAACTGAGAACTATTTACAATATAAGAATATGTAAATATGCATACAATTATTTTCTGGAATGATGATGATATTACATTATAAGGTAACCTTTGAAAATCTCTACCATACAGACGAGAGGAAAAGGGTAAAAACAGCAAAAAATAACTTGGTTTTATTATAAAAATAGTTTTATCCTCATAAACCCCTTGATCTTGGAGACTGTCAAGATTCCACAGACTGTATTTTTAGAAATGTTGTTGAAGGCATTTGTAAAAATAACAAGTTTTTGTGTGTCCAAGATTTTATGAATACTCAAGCATAATTTTATTTAAGCTTTCACAAAAGCCTAAGAGCACTTAATATGGGCCAGTTTTGTGATAAATGTATTTCTGGTAAGTATGATTTACCCTTATGTAACAGAGAAGGAATCTGAAGCCAAAAGACTTAAGTAACCTGACTTGAGTGACAGTTTTAGTGGATTTCTGATGCAACCCTATTCTCTCCAATTTTGTCAAAGATGTTGCTATTTTCACTATACAATCCTTTCATTTTCCAAAAGTAATAAATGATATCTGTAATTAACATGCACTGATGCACACTTGATAACAGTTTTCAGGAAACTAATAATTAAACAAGGTTGCAGAGTTTAAACGACTTTGTGTGCAAAAGCCTTAAAATGTCAGCATCTGAACCACGTGTGGGCAAAAGTACAAAGAAAAAGCCTGATTCAAAAATAGAAAGTAATTTATTTAACAAGCAAGGAGCCAAGGTATATGGCAAACTCAGGAACGGAGAAACTGTTTTTGATATTAGATCAGAAAATACTGCATGGAAGAGGCAGCATTTGGGTTGGACCTCAAAACGTGAACTATCTTAAAGTTAAGACAAAGAAATAAATAAACATTAAAATAGCTGTATTCTATTCCCTGGATATTTGCCAAGCCAGTCATTCCATTTCAAATGGAATATGAAAACAATAATTCATTAGGGTGGATGAAGTATATATTCACCAAGGGAAACTCAGATACTGATACTGATTGTGCAGCTAAACAATAATCAGTATGTAGATAACTAAGGGCATTTTTATTATACATAACAAATATATGTATAAAATGTATTAATTTTTAGGGTTGAATTTTAAGCATGTATTGCTTGTTTTAGCTATCAACTGTCATTATTTTATTCTAACCTCAATAAAAATATCAATGTATGTCAAAAAAAGAAATACAATGTATTCACATATATTAGAGTACAGATTATTTTTGTTCAATAACTCACTATTATATAATTTTTTTAGAATGTTGATTAATGTCCCAAAACATTGGACAGCAAATTTTTGAATGTGTGTTGTATAGAATGATATTTTCATGAATGATAGAGTGAAATGAACTTTTCAAGTTTTTATTTTTTTTCTTTTACAATAAAACAAGAAGTTTCTTTTTTATAAAATAAAGATCTTTAGTGAAAAGAGGACAAAGGCTATTTTGACCTTTAGTTTTTTCAAAGGGTTAGAGTTATATAATCACCAAGATTCCTGTCAAAAAAGACAATTTTATACAATTGGCTATTTAGATGAAAGATTTCTACTTTCTCTAGAATTTCAAAGACCTGTGACCCTACAAGGAAATGGGGACATTATTTATGCCTATTCTTTCCATTCCTAGGTTGGGACACACAGTTTGTTCATAGTGTGTAGAACTTGCTACAAATCGCTTCACTTACTTTTCTTTTGTGTTAGTTCAATAAATGAATAAATTCACATCAAAAATATCTTTAACTCAGTGAGAACTTGTTTAGAATTTCAATTCCACTCCTTAATAGCTAGGTGATTTTTGTTTCATTTTTCTTTAATATTATACAAATTAATTCAACAAACACCAAGTTGAATGCCATTATGCACTTGGCATTATTTGAGCACTGGAGGTAGAGACGTGAGCTGAGATAGTCTCTTCTTTGTTGTGATTGTGATTTCAACATGATAAGAAATGACACATATGAAAAGTCTAGCATCATAATTTCCACATAGCGTATTTTCAATTAGCTATGAGTAAATACTGTTCCTTCTCTTTCTTTATGGGCTAACATATTTTTCAATGGTTAATACATTTGTTTTTAAGCACACCAAGCGAGAGGTTAGATGTGATTATTTTTAAAGTCAAGTTTAACATTATTTCATTTATCTTGAGAATTGCTGTATAAAAATTTGTGATCAAAATGAGTATCTTGGGCATATAAAATTTTATGATAATTCTGTATGTTGATCTATTGGCAAAGTTTTAAATGTGAAGAAGATGGCTGCTTCATGCCAGGGAAACCAAACGGAAGCATTTTGTGGCTTTTTGTATTTCGTTTTGAGTTAATTGTAAGCATGCCTTAAAAGTTGTCTTTATCTTCTATTTTATTATAATACTTCTATGGTTAGGTTATTTTAACTCCCAGGATAACATAGTTGTTTCTGAAAAAATTAAAACCTGCTTTATTGTTTGTGGTGATAGTAATAGAATGGCAGTCATCACTTCAATTTGGGAAATATAGGACTGCAAGATCCTATGGTAAAGACTTACATATCATTTATGTATTCATATATATCTATTTACCTGTATATTATTTATCCACCTTTCTCTCTGTATGTCTTTCTTTTGAAAGAAAACACACACAGACTTATATATACATGGTTTTTTTTGTATCATGTTTTCGAACTGAGGACCATGTCTGTTTCTTTTAGCAAGGTGCCTCCAGTTCTTAGAATGAACACATAGGAAGCATTTAAAAGTGTTTGTTGAAAAATTGGATAGGTGGTGATATGGTTTGGCACTATATCCTCACCCAAATCTCATCTAGAATTGTTATCCCTATGTGTTAAGGGAGGGACCTGGTGGGAGGTGATTGGATCATAGAGGTGGTTTCCCCCATGCTGTTCTCATGACAGTGAATTCTCATGAGATCCGATGGCTTAAAAGTGTATGACACTCCCTCCTTCTCTCTTTCTCTCCTACTCCATTGTGGTAAGATGGGCTTGCTTCCCCTTAAGCTTCCACCGTGATTGTAAGTTTCCTGAGCCCTCCCCAGCCATGTAGAACTGTGAGTCAGTTAAACCTTCTTTCTTTATAAATGAAACCTTCTTTTTTATATAAACCCAGTTATCAGATAGTATCTTTATAGCAGTATGAGAACAGAGTAATACAGTTGGGTTAATGAGTGAATCTAGCTAGGAACAAATAGTGAGAGCACAGATAAGGGAGACATTTAATTTTGCTGTGGAAGTTTTGTTAGGGTAAGTATTATTTGAATTAATACTTAAAGAATGAAAAGATGTGCATTAGAAGAAAAATGTAAAAGGAAACTTTCCTGGTAGAAGGAACAGAACAAGCATATCATAAAATAGAAAGCATGTTGTAAATACTGGGGATAACATGGAGTCAGTTAGTCAAGATCAGAGCATACACAAAAGGAAAAATGACAGGTACACTCATACAAGTAGGTTTATGGCATATTTTAGCATATCTTTGAATATTTTGATAAAGACTGAGTTTTTTTTTTTTTTTTCCTTAAGTGATGAAGAGTTAATCATTAACTGAAAACAAATAATGCACTTTTTGGATTCTAATAGAGAACCCATTACTGGACTTAGTTTCCTCACTTAAAGAGTAAAAGAGTTGGTCTGGCTATAGTCATTTCGGCTTTAATATAGCACTAATATAGTATCATCATTAAAATCAAAACTATCTGATCTAAAATTATACATTCAGTTTTTTGGAGGAACATAAATGACTTCTTGTATCTACTAAGTGGTTTTCTACTAAGTAGTTTTCTGCAATATTCTTTTTTCTTTCTCTCTTTTTTTTTGAGACAGAGTCTTGCTCTGTTGCCCAGGCTAGAGTGCAGAGGCACGATCTTGGCTCACTGCAACCTCTGCCTCCCAGGTCCCACTTCAGCCTCCTGAGTAGCTAGGACTACAGGTAAATCCTACCACACTCGGCTAATTTTCATATTTTTTGGTAGAGACAGGGTTTCACTATGTTGGCCAGATTGTTCTCAAACTATTGGCCTCAAGTGATCTGCCCATCTTTGCATCCCAAAGTGCTGGCTCACAGATGTAAGCCACCGTGCCCAGCCAGTTTTCTGCAATATTCTTTGCAGTTGTTAGTATATAACCAAATTTGGCTAATTTATTTGTTGTCAAACAATATTTATATAGATAACTCAATTTCATCTTTCTTTCATATAAGAAATTTTCCTAGACCTATGAAATCATAAATAATATTCTGATTCAATATTAATGGTTACATTAGGGTGTATCAATTTTAATTTGTTTTTGCAAAAAAAGTGAATCATAAATAAAAGCATAATAATAGATCAATATTTATATTTAAGTACATATTTTATGTATTTTGTGACATGTTCATAAATAAATGGTTCTTATAACAACATGCAATGTATCTAATGACGTTAATAGCCTAAAATACTTTACTATTTGGCAAACCCTGTATATTCAAATGTGTTAACTCTTTCTGACTGAAGCATTTATATTCCCATTGGTAGTTGTGTGACAGTACAGCACAGTGTTTGTGAGTCTCAAAAATCCATGTAATTTTGAGAAGCAGTTTCTTTACTCTGATTTCTACTCAAGACTGAGGACAATGTCAGGAATTAATACTTCATTCAGCCAAATATCAGTACTATCTTGTGGTGTTTTCTTAACCTTATATCAAAATTCTACCCTACAGTCAAATCAACTTGAGGCCAGGTTTCAAAGGCTAAAATGTATAACTGCCTTTGAGCAATGAATGGGAGTCTGAAATTTTAGCCTGGGAGCAATGTTTTTCTGAACTCTGTGATATCTCTAAATCTTGATGTTATGTTGTACATCTGTTTTCATTGTTCCCTTATGCATTACTTTTGGTACAATTCTCTTTAGTCTTGTCTGTTCTTTTAACCATATAATACTTCAAAAAAATGTTGTTTTGCTTTCTTTTTTTGTTTGTTTCAATTTGGGTTTTTGATAGTTTATAGAAATAATTTCAGATGTACAAAGGAGTAGCAAAGTTAATAACGGAGTTTTGTAGATGCTTCACCCAGCTTGCAATATTAATTTTGTGTATAGTCATGATACTATTATAAAAACTAAGATAATTGGTACAATAATATTAGCATTGGTAAAATAATATTAACTGAACTAAAGTGGTAAAATACTAATAAGCAAACTTCAAACAATTTATATTTCAGCATATTTCAACTAATGTCCTTTTTGTCCTTGAGGATCCAATCCAGAAGCCTACATTGCATTTAGTTGTCCTGACTTCTTAGTTGTCTCTGGTTTGAGACAGTTCAATAGTTTTTGTTTGTCCCTCATGATCTTGACAATTTTGCAAGTATTTTGTAGAATGTCTCTCAATTTGGATCTGAAGTCTCTCTGATATTTTGTCATAATTATATTAAAGATTTGGATTTGGGGGAAAAATACCAAACAGGCAATAGGCTTTGCTGAATGAGTGGATTATGTCAACAGTTCAATGATGTTAGTATGGCTCATTAGAGTGATATGAACCTTGATCCCTTGATTACAGTGATATCTACTAGGTTTCTTCATAGTACAGTTACTATAATAAATAGGGGCAAAAAATTTGAGATTGTACAAATATGTTATTTATTCGTGTACTTTTGCTCACAATTTTTTGCCTACAATGATTATTATATGGCATTCTAATGATTATTTTCTATCTCCCTCATTTTTAGAAATGTATTAATTGGAATTCTTGTGTAAGAAAGAGTTGTCTCTCCTGCCCAGTTTACTTATTTATTTATTTATTTATATTACTATGAACTCATTAATATTTACTTTATTATCTGGGTTATAATATAAAACTATAATTATTAATTTAATTGCTCAAACTCTGTTAGCTTTGGTCACAGGAGCTCTTTCAGATTGGCTTCTATGTCTTTTTGATGCAGGTGAGGCCTAAAATCGGGGTTTAGGCCAGGATGGTTTTTGGCTTTGTCCAAGAAAGAACATAAGTGAGCCAACAGAGCAAAGGGAAAGCAAGTTTATTAAAGCAACTGAGTACAGGAATATGGCTGCTCCATAGAGAGAGTAGTAGCAGCAGCAGCAGCAGCCCTCGTGAATGGCTGGCTAGCTATTTTTAGAGAACTGTTCCTTGATTATATGCTAGATAAGGGGTGGATTATTCATGAATGTTCTGAAAAGGGGGTAAAGGGTTCTTGGAACCAAAGGTCCTTCTTCTTTTAAACTATATAAGGTAACTTCTGGGGGTTGTCATGGCATTTGTTAATTGTCATGTTTGTAGTGGGAGTGTCTTTTAGCATCCAAATGCATTATAATTAGTATGAAATAAGCAGTGAGGGTAACCAGAAGCTGCTTTCATTGGCATCTTGGTTTTAGCTGGTTTGGGCTGATTTCTTTGCTGCATCCTGTTCTCATCAGCTTCTGTTTTGTTCAGTGGGGTCTGGTGACTGGTTCTCAGAAAACAAGTCCTACTGATCTCTTGAACCTCATTTTGACATGTCTCATCTTTTTTTCATTTTTTTTCTCCTCTCCTTTAAAATTTTATCACTTATTTACCTCCTGGAACCACATGAAATTCCAGGGTTAACTTGTATTTTTCTTACCCCAGTCCTGGAACCAACTACTTCTCCATTGAGCCTTGGTTCCTTTCATTAGGTAATGATATTTAAACACTCAGATCTGTGCTCTAGTTTTATTAGTTGCTGCTAGGGTATCACTGCTTCTGCAAACTCTCATCAGACAGAGACAGGAAATGTATTTATGTAAAGTAACCGAGGTATACATATTTTTGTATACTTTTTGTATGTATATATTTTTAATTGAAATCATACTGATAACTCTAAATCTAACCCAACGCTACAGAGTTTATTATGTCATTCTCTCTTTGATTATTTCTAACTTATATTAGAGAAACATGGCTTTCATTATCTACAATATATATGCTGATACTAGTAAAGTAGTTCAGAGTTGCTATTTCATGCTCTTGAGAGAAAACGTTTACCAACTAGAGTACCATGCTCGTGTCTATTTCTTTTGTTTATTAGCTGATGATATCTGGTCAAACAGTGTTTTACAATGTTATTCTCTCAGACTTTAATTTGTTTGTTCTTTTTCTACCTCCTTAAATGAGGTAATATTACTCACTGTTAATATAGTTAGATTCATTCTGCATTCTGTCTTGGCTATTTATTAAAATTACATATGGTAGAAATCACTCTTTATGGTATTATATATAGATGCACAGAATTGTGTATCTATATATACACAATATTATATAGAACTATTCTATCACCAGAAAAATTTCCTCTTGCTGTCTTTTTTTGCAATCAACCACTTCCCCAATCCTAACCCATGACAATTAACTGATGTGATGTTCTTTCCTATAGCTTTATCTTTTCCAGAATGTCATATAAATTGAATCATGCATATGTGGCCTTTGGGTCTGGCCTTTTTCACTTAGTCAAATGCATTTATAACTCACCCACATTGCTGTGAGAACAAAGAACTCATTATTGTTTCTTGCTATGTAGTATCCAATTTATGGATGTATGCATTTTGTTTAGGTATTCACCATTTGAAAGACATCTGGTTGTTTCCAGTGTGTAGTAATTACAGCGAAAAAAATCCTGCTATAAACATCCTGGTATCGATTTTTGTGTGAACCATTGTTTCTTTTCGCTGGAGCAAATACAAGTGGAATTGGTGGGTCATAGGTTAGGTATAAGTTTAACTTTATAAGAAACTTCAATATTGATTATAGCATTTTGCATTTCTACAAGCAATATATGAGAAGTCCTATTGTTCCACATTTGCCAACATCTGATACTGCTTGTGCTTTTGAATACAGTGTTTCCAAATGTGTGTGTGGAGATATCTCATAGTTTTAATTTGCCTATCCTAATTAATAATGATATTGAGCATCTCATCATATGCATATTTGCTATCCACTATCTCTTTTGGTGATGTGTTACTTCAGGTATTTCGCCCATTTTTTGTGGGGCTACTTGTTTGCTTATTACTTAGCTTTGAGAGTCTTTTATGGAATAGTTATGAGTTGTCACTCTTTGAATAACTAATTTGCAAATATAATATTTCAGTCCACAGCTAATTCTTTCATTTTTCCTTTTTCCAGCCTTATTGAGGTATAATTGACAGAAAAAAGTTTTAATATTGAAAGTGTACAACTGTAACCCAACTCTAGCTGTGTGGAACCCAATAACAAGAGCAAAATATGGTAGAAAGAAAGTAGCTTTATTTACCATAACTAGCAGTGGTTAAGTGGCTGGATTCACTTCCAAAGTAAGCACTTCAAACTTTAGGCTGGGGCAAGGGGCTTAAAAGGGGAAACTTGGAATGGGAAACATGCAGGAAGGGTGCTGAGTATAAGGTCTGTGTGTCTTATTCCAGTGGCTATCTCAAGCTGTGGTCCACCTGGATCATGGGCTGGTGTCATCTCAATGATGTCCAAGTTGTTGACTAACTGCCTTGAGGTATCTCCGAAATTTTGCAGCTAGTTCTCTATGCCTGAAGGTCTGTTTCAAGATTAGCCACTGAAACTTCCATGTAAGGACACAATTAGAAACAAGCATACAGTTAGATAAATGTGTATAGTGTAAGGGAGTGTATAAGAAAGGGAAGGACATGGTATTTGAAAGAAAGTACATTTCAAGGCTATAGTTTAAGAATAAAAAAAGGTTTCTCTAGCTAGTTTCAATGTTGTGTCTTGAGACTAGAGAAAAAAAACAGAAAAAAGGAAAAGAAAAGTTTTAAAATGCCTTTTCAGGCTAGATTGTTCAGTGACACAATGTGATGATTTGATAATTTGTATATATTGTAAAATGATCACCACAATCAAGTTAATTAACACATCCATCAACTCACATAACTATCATTTGTATGGGTGAGGTGGCGAAGATACTTCAGATCTGCAATCTTAGCAAATTTCAAGTATATAACACTGTATCATTAACTATATTCACCATGCTGTACATCAGTCTCCAATCTTTTTGGCACCAGGAACCAATTTCGTGGAAGAAAATGCTGCCACGGATTGGGTGGGGAGGATGGTTTCAGGATGATTCAAGTGCATTTCATTTATTGTGCACTTTATCTCTTTTATTATTGCATTGCAATATATATATAATATAATGAAATAATTATACAACTCACCATAATGTAGAATCAGTGGGAGCCCTCAACTTATTTTCCTGAAACTAGATAGTTCCACCTGAGGGTGATGGGAGACAGTGGCAAATCATCGGGCATTAGATTCTCATAATGCGCAACCTAGATCTCTCGCATGTGCAATTCACAATAGGGTTCACGCTCCTATGAAAATCTAATGCTACCACTAATCTGACAGGAAGCAGAGCTCAGGTGGTAATGTGAGTGATGTGGAGCGGCTGTAAATACAGATGAAGCTTTGCTCACTTGCAGCTGCTCATGTTCTGCTGCAAAGCCCATTTCCTAACAGGCAAGGAACCAGTACCAGTCCAGGGGTTGGGGACCCCAACTGTACATGCTATCAGACACTTACTTCTTGTTTCTTCTATCTAACTGTATGTTTGTACCCATTAACCAGCTTCTCTTCATTCCCACCCCCAATCCTTCCTAGCCTCTGGTAACAATCATTCTACTCTCTTAAAGCACTGATCTGCTCTTTAACAAACATTGGTAAAGGATTATAAAGGGTTTATGAGAATCTCACCTCATGGTCAAATTGGTTAAGCATAATAGCAAGGGTTATAGGCCTTTAACATACTCGATAGGCTTCCCAAAAATCAAATTTCAGCTTTAAAATTGTCTTTTCTAACCCCTAACTTTTGGATGCTACAGAGGGCCCCTGGAGCATCCAAAAGAGATGTAAACAGGATTATGTGACATGCTTAGTTGCATGGAATAGTCAAAATAAAAATAATGTTTAATCTTCTTCAGGTTATATTTTAGTGAATAATATTAATATATGCTCCAAAATTGCATGGGATTTCTAAAATTCTAATGTCTGAGTATATGCTATCAATCATAATTAAGGTTATTATATTAGATTATTGCTGACCACAGAAATAACCAAATTTCCTTGTCAATTGTGTCTTTATGACTATTTAAAGTCATTTCCATGGTTAATTGCATAATGCTGATATAGTTTCTGAAAAGTTCACTAGCATGCAAAATCCTAGAATATGGTGTCTTAGGAGGTTCATGAAAGGATGGAAAGGACCCTGAAAAGCATTCTTGAATATAGCTTTCTAATAACTTTAAGTTTATATCATTTGGACTGGCTAAGAATTCCTGAAACTTTAACAAAAACTGGTTTATAAAACTGCTAACCTAAGCAGAACAAGAATAAATTGAATACCAAGAAAGTACTTTGCCAGATTTTCATGTTAAATCAGCTGATACATGGTCTATGTCAAATTACCTATGATAACCCATTAGTTATCAGTGCTATGCACTTAAATTTGAGAAACAACAGGCATTCAAGAGGACATAAGTCCAATGTTACACATGGACTCATGGGGAACAAGAACAGTTGCAGCCTTGTCCTTCCTGAGGCTTTAAAGCTTTTGTTTTTAAAAGTTCTGCATTCCGGCAGGGAGTGGTGGCTCATGCCTGTAATCCCAGCACTTTGGGAGGCCGAGGCGGGTGGATCATGAGGTCAGGAGATCGAGATCATCCTGGCTAACATGGTGAAACCCCATACAAAAAATCAGCTGGGTGCGGTGGTGGGTGCCTGTAGTCCCAGCTACTCAGGAGGCTGAAGCAGGAGAATGGCATGAACCTGGGAGGCAGAGTTTGCAGTGAGCTGAGATCGTGCCACTGCACTCCAGCTTGGGCGATAGTGCAAGACTTCGTCTCAAAAAAAAAAAAAAGTTCTGCATTCCATGACTCATGGAGAAGATAAAATGATCCAAATTAAATGTATATATTTTGTGGTGGCTACCAAATTGCTAAAATAGTTTATAGCCAACGTTTGGTTTGTTAAATCCATATTCCTGGGAAGACAATCAAAACTTCAGGTACATTTGGCTACCTGATGGGCCATTTAAACATTTATAAAGGGATTTCATTCAATTGTTACTTTCAATCCATGTTTTCTGATTGTAGAAAAGCTTCCCATACAAGAGGGCTGATGTTATAATAGTAGATTATTATGCCACAGTGTATTTTCACGGTGTAAAGAAAGCTTTTTATGGTTCACTGAGGACAATCAACCTCTTCACAATCTAGAACCTGAAGATTGGATCTGCTGAGAATATCAGAGAAAGACTATCCTTGCCATCCACACTACAGCAAAACTTTGGGAACTTAAACTTTGGGTTCATAGTCTCATAACTCAGAAGGGTCCCTCCACGTTCTTGTAACTGTACACTGATTGGAACCCTTAAAGTAAAGCTAACTAGGAAAGTTTCTCCCCAGAAGAAAATGATATCCTTGATGTGCTTTTCCAAAAATCACAGATCAAGACTTCTCTACTATCATGAAACTCTTATCTTTGAATTTTTTTCCCTTGCTTATGCCTCTATGAATGATAGAAGTGAAAAGGGGATCTCTTATACGTACTTATGGGGTTTAGTTTTATTAGTGAAGGATTTTGCAGACAGCCTTATACATGGATGGCTTATACTTTGATACATAAAGATGAAGGCTGATGCAGGTGAGAAAATTTAATGTACATATACTGCCTCATAATCAGTCAGAAACAGAACATTGGTTCACTCCTCTTAAAACACATTGTGGGTTAAGGAGAACCTTGCCAGAAGGCCTTCACTCCTCTATATTTTTTCCAATACGTTTTTTGGGAACAGGTGGTGTTTGGTTACATAAATAAGGTCTTCAGTGGTGATTTCTGGGATTTTGGTGCACCCATCACCCGAACAGTGTACACTGTACCCAGTGTGTGGTCTTTTATCCCTTATTACCTCTCACCCTCTCACCCAAGTACCCAAAGTCCAGTGTATCATTCTTACACCTTTGTGTCCTCATAGCTTAGCTCCCACGTATGAGTGAGAACATATGATGCTTGGTTTTCCATTTCTGAGTTACTTCACTTAGAATAATAGTCTCCAATATATATCACATTTTCTTTATCCAATTGTTGATTGATGGGCATTTAGGCTGGTTCCACATTTTTGCAATTGCAAATTGTGCTGCTATAAACATGCATGTGCAAGTATCAAGAAGTGTTTAAATCCACCTATGACCTGAAAGCCCCTTCTTTGAGATGTCCCACCTGTCCAGGCCAAAGCAATGTACTTCTTGATCAGATTCTCCCGGGGACTGAAAGCTCGAACGGATGAATAACTCCTCCCTCCTCAGGCCCAGTCCCAAGGCTCAAGGCCATTTGCATCAGCAGCAAAAGCCAGCAAGATAGCAGAAGCAGGAAGAGAGCCAGCAGGAAAACACATACCCTGGCTTGAAGACATACCCCTGAAGTTCGAGAAAGAGGCAGTCCGGGTACGACATAGTAGTCACGTCAGACTGCAACACTTCCTGTTTACAGAGGACTATAAAACCCCTGTCCCATCCTCAGTTGGGGCTGATGCCATTTTAGGCTTCAGCCGGCCTGCACCCAGGCGCTCATTAAAACGGCATGTTGCTCCACACTGCCTTGTGTTGTCTCTTGGCGTGCTCCCAGGGTTCAAACTCATAAAAGAACCTTTCACTTCTTACATGTATTGCTTTATGTATCAGCGTGTAACTTCTTTCTCTCTAAAATGTATAAAATCAAGCTGTAACCCAACCACCTCAGGCACATGTTCTCAAAGCCTCTGGAGATTGTGTTTCTGGCCTTGGTAACTCATATTTGGCTCAGAATAAATTGTTCAAATACTTTACCGTTTGACTCTTTTGTTGACTATTTTTTCTGCTTGTAATTTGTTAAGGAGTTTCAATCTGTTATCAATTCTGGAAAATGTTTACCAGTTACCACATTAAAAAAAATGCTTCTTCACTGTTTTTTACTCAAGATAGTCTATCTGGGGTACAGGCTACTTACCAGAGTTGTCCTACTTGCAGCAACGTGGCAATCTTCTAAATTTGTTTTGGCTTGTGGGGAAGAGAGACTAGAAAATTAACAAGTGCTTTTTTCTGGCTCATGTCAGAAGTGCTACAGTCTCTCTTCAATTAGCAGATCTCGACAATGGTACTGCCTAATTAGAAGGAGGCAGGAAAGTGTAGATTCTCTTATTTTCAGGAAAGAGCAGAACATGGCATAACTTAACACAATGGTTCATTCTTCCTTCATAGGTTTAATACTTTTGGAGTGAATATTCATCATTAGTTAATCTTGAATGTCATTTACGTAGCCAATGTGGTGGAATAATTTTATATATACTTCTTTAATATCTCCCAGGGGTATGTGAAAAATACATTTGAATTGTAAACCAACCTGGGCACTGCACCAGGCCTTATCTTGCTTTTCTAAATATGGATATTACGTATCATTTATTTTAATCTCAACTTGTAATAGTAATTTGTATTTTATACCTCATTTTTAGCTGCTTATGTGTCTGGAATTGGTGGGTTCTTGGTCTCACTGACTTCAAGAATGAAGCCACGGACCCTCGCGGTGAGTGTTACAGTTCTTAAAGGCGGCGTGTCCGGAGTTTGTTCCTTCTGATGTTCGGATGTGTTAGGAGTTTCTTCCTTCTGGTGGGGTTCATGGTTTAGCTGTCTCAGGAGTGAAGATGCGGACCTTCGCGGTGAGTGTTACAGCTCTTAAGGCGGTGCGTCTGGAGTTCTTCATTCCTCCTGGTGGGTTCGTGGTCTCCCTAGCTTCAGGAGTGAAGCTGCAGACCTTCGTGGTGAGTGTTACAGCTCATTAAGGCAGTGTGGCCCCAAAGAGCGAGCAGCAGCAAGATTTATTGCAAAGAGCTAAAGAACAAAGCTTCCACAGTGTGGAAGGGGACCCGAGCGGGTTGCCACTGCTGGCTCCCGCAGCCTGCTTTTATTCTCTTATCTGGTCCCACGGACATCCTGCTGATTGGTCCATTTTACAGAGAGCCGAGTGGTCTGTTTTGACAGGGTGCTGATTGGTGCGTTTCCAATCCCTGAGCTAGACACAAAAGTTCTCCACTTCCCCACTAGATTAGCTAGATAGGGAGTGTTCACACAAAGGTTCTCCAAGTCCCCACCAGAGTAGCTAGATACAGAGTAGTGATTGGTGCATTCACAACCTTGAGCTAGACACAGGGTGCTGATTGGTGTATTTATAATCCCTTAGCTAGACATAAAGGTTCTCCAAGTCCCCACCAGACTCAGGAGCCCAGCTGGCTTCACCCAGTGGATTCCGCACCCAGGCGGCAGGTGGAGCTGCCTGCCAGTCCCATGCGTGCACCTGCACTCCTCAGCCCTTGGGTGATCGATGGGACTGGGTGCCCTGGAGCAGGGGGCGGAGGTCGTCAGGGAGGCTCAGGCCGCACAGGAGCCCACGGAGGAGGGGGAGGCTCAGGCAGGTCCCGAGCCCTGCCCCCCGCAGGGAGGCAGCTAAGGCCCTGTGAGAAATCGAGTGCTGCACCGGTGGGCCGGCACTGCTGGGGGACCCAGCACACACTCCACAGCCGCTGGCCGGGGTGCTAAGCCCCTCATTGCCCGGGCCAGCCTGCCGTTCGGAGTGCGGGGCCTGCCAAGCCCACGCCCACGCGGAACTCCAGCTGGCCCGCAAGCCCCGCGTGCAGCCCAGTTCCCACTCGTGCCTCTCCCTCCACACCTCCCTGTAAGCTGAAGGAGCCAGCTCCGGCCTTGGCCAGCCCAGAAAGGGGCTCCCACAGTGCAGTGGTGGGCTGAAGGGCTCCTCAAGTGCCGCCAAATGGGAGCCCAGGCAGAGGAGGCCTCGAGAGCGAGCCAGGGCTGTGAGGGCTGCCAGCACGCTGTCACCTCTCACTTAGACACAGGAGGTCTAATTAATCTTTCTCTAGCACCTTCACATAATTTTGAGTTTAGCAAATTACTTTGACTTTTTATTTGTTAAGTGTTCTTATTCTTTTTGTTTCTTTACTTTTATTTTCATTTCTCTACTGCATTGATGCAAGGATATTACTTAATTCTCCCTCCCACTAAGCCTTTTACATTTACGTCCCTAGTCTGGAGGTTCACAGGATGTTTCTGTACTTAGAAGTTACCTTAACTTATAAAAAGCAAACAAACAAGCAAAAATGCACGAATGCTATATATAGTGATAATCATCAGCTCTAATCTCAGTAGAGTACAACAATCTTAAGTGCTTCAACTATTAATATTCTCTTCCTGTATACTGTGTCCTTTTGCTTGTATCTTAATATCAGCTTATTTTCAACCACAAAATTATTATTTGTCTTTAACTGTAATTATCTTTATTTTGCTCTTAATCTTGAATGATACTTTAGCTGGATTAAGAGTTCTAAGCCCCTGGGGTTGTTTTTGTTTTGTTTTAGTTTGGTTTGGTTTTCTCTCTTCAATTATTTAGACAATTAAGTTTAATACTTTCTTGTTTTGTTGTTGCTGATAAGTCTATTATCTATTTACTAAAAATTCCTTTATGACATCTATAATTTTTTAGTAAATTTCTGCTTTTAAAAATAGTTTTATTATGATGTGTCTAACTGAATGTGTGTTTTCTTATTCTACTTAAGAATTGGCATGTTGTTTTAATTAAGAACTTGTATATTTTCTTAATTCTGGAAATTTCTCAGACATCTAATATAATTATAAATCTCTGCCAGATTCCTATTTAATCTTTCCTTCTAAAACTTTATCCCATGCATATTGTTTTAAAACGTGTCTCATAAATTGTTGATGAAAAAAACTTCAACTGAATTAAATTTAAAGGAGTTTAATTGAGCAATGAACAATTTGCGAATTGGGCAGACTTCTGAGCCATAGTAGGCTCAGAGACTCCAGCACAGCCATGGGGTGAAAGAAAACTTATGAACAGAGAAAGCAAAGTGAGGTACAGAAAAAGAAATTCAGGTGCAGAAACAACTGGATTGGTTACAGCTTGGTGATTGCCTTATTTGAACACAGTTTGAACAGTTGGCTACATTTGATTAGCCAAAACTCAGTGATTGGCACAAGTGTAGGCTATGGTCTGTTTACACCTCAACTTGTTATGGTTCACAATGTACAGAAAAACCTTTAGGCCAAACTTAAAATATGTAAGGAGGCAGCTTTAGGCTAAACCTGATTTAAAATTGTCATTTTTATTCAGAGAGAAATGTGGAGTTTAACTTCTGCTTTATATCTCACTAACCAGGTGACTTTAGTTCACTTAATCATTTTGAGACTTATTTTTCTCTATTGTAAAGTAAGTATAATAATGCTACCTGATGTTTTTTGAGAACTAAATGGCATAAGTCATTGTATTAATTTTCTGTTGCTTCTGTAACAGATTACCACAAACTTAGTGACTTAAAACAAAAATTTATTATCTTACAGTTCTTGTGGTTAAAAGTTTAACATAGATTGCACTGGGCTAACATCAAGTTCAACAGGCAGTAAAATCAAGTGTTGGTAGAACCATTTTGGAGGGTTTAGGGGATAATCTAGTTTTTTTGCCTCTTAAAACTTGTTGGGTCTGCCTGCATTCCTTGGCAGGCAGGTGGCTTCCTTTCTCCATCTTCAAAACCATCAATGGTGGATTGAGTCCTTCTTATCACTCTAATCACTTATGTGATTACATTGGGCCCACCTGGTAGTCAAGAAAAATCTTCCCATCTCAAGGCCTACAATCTTAATAACATCTGCAATGTCCCTGTTGCCATAGGCTATAACATATATTCATATGTTCCAGGGACTGGGATGTGGACATCTTGCCAGTGAGAAGGAGGATTATTCTGTCTACCACAACATTTATAGAGGACTTGATATCTAGTAAGAATTCAAAAATATTATGAACATATTGATGTCAGAAGAGCTTAGAAGTGAATTTGGCTCTTTGTAACTGTGAACTGTGGGCTCTTAATAGTTTGAGATAATCAATCATTTGATTTCTCTTTTTGAAATCCCTGTAAGATAGGAGTATGTATGGATACCTTAGAAAATCAAGAGGATATTCTGACATAGTATATTTAAAATAGTTGTAATTCATTTATACATTTACTTGAATCATATTGTGTACATTAGCAACAGCAAACATGTTGGTGGGTAGTGACTAGGGGCAGACAGGGTGGCTTTAAATAGCAAACTATGGCACATGAATTAATTTATTGCCAAAAAGCACTACGTGTATACATACATACACACATTTGTGTATACATACACACTGTGATAAGTAATAGCACAAATTACAGCAATAATTGGTAGCTGATAGCTATGTAACAGATGTCAAGATTAAAGGGGACTAAATACATTGGGGATTCCCTGTTTAACCAATGGGTTTAATTAAAAGGTTTGTTGACTTTTTAACTTTGTCAGCTATTTCTTGCTCAGTAATTAAACAGAATCTAGCTAATTCCTTTGAGGGTGTTTTTCAAAGCCTAATAAAAACATGTATCATTTGTAATCAACTTTTAATGTTAGTATTAATATAAGTGTAAGGAACATGGCTGTGCTTTGGTCAAGGAATAGGCTGAGGCAGACATCTGGGCCAGAGTGACTCAGCAAGTTTGGAAAGCAGGTGCACAATTCCATGTATAATGTAAACACAGCCATGTAGCATAGCATGAGAAGGCTCGTCATTTGGCTCTACGCCAATATTGTCTGTAAAAGGTATAATTTGCCCTGCTGACATTGTACAGGCACGCTTGTGCCCAGAGAAAGAGAGAGTCAGAGTTGTCCGTCTGTGCAGAAGACAGGGAGCCAGGACACAGCTCAGCTCACTCGGTCCCAACGAGAGAAAGAGTTAAGCTGCTGACCCTGAAGGCAAGGGAGAGCCTGCCAGGCAGCTGTGTGTGGGAGCTGCCAGACTAAGCAGCTGAGACAAGGTGGACAGTGTGAGAGAACTAGTGTGAGTGAGATGCTGATGGGAGAGCTGCTGAATAAAACTACATTTCACCTGCCTATGGTCTCGTGAGTGTTCTTTCATCTATCTGCTCATCCACCCATCTCTAGATAGTATTAAAATTACTTCAAAACATTAATCTGTTACATTGACAATTTTAGTATTATGTGCTATGTTGTAATTCCTGTTTCTGCTCATCAAATTATTTATTAGCTCAACAGAGTTATTGTACTTGGATGTGCAGAGCTCATACAAGCTGATAAGAAAAATACTAAGACAGTATCAAAAAAATAACTTTAGTGGAAAAGTCACAGGAGATTTTAAAATATGAAAAACTGAAAAAAATATTGAATCATATAAAATTGCCAACATTGTTAGTCAAATTAGTCTATATTGGCAATTTCATGTGTTTCTTGTTTTGTTTTTTTTTTGAGACAGAGTTTCACTCTTGTTGCCCAGGCTGGAGTGCAATGGCACGATCTCTGCTCACCACAACCTTCGCCTCCCGGGTTCAAGCGATTCTCCTGCCTCAGCTTCTCGAGTAGCTGGGATTACAGTCGTGTGCCACCAATCCTGGCTAATTTTGTATTTTTAGTAGAGACAGGGTTTCTCCACCTTGGTCAGGCTCGTCTTGAACTCCCGACCTCAGGTGATTTGCCCACCTTGGTGTCCCAAAGTGCTGGGATTACAGGTGTGAGCCACCACACCCGGCCTCAATTTCATATGTTTAAATCTAGTAGTTTAAGAGATGTTAAAATGAAATGGAGAAAAACGTTATTTGGAGTTTTAAATTACCAAGAATAAAAACTTTCATAATTAATATCAATAAGGAAGAAGAGGGACATATTGAGCAATTTCATCTTAATGAACACAAACAGCACTACTTTACTGGAAGTATATTGGCAACATGTACTAATAAATTTTAAAAAATAATTTAAATGGAGAACAAGAATTTTAATAGAGAACAAAACAGATTATTATATATATGTTTATATGTATAAATATGTTTATGTGTGTGTGTGTATGTGTATGTGTGTGTGTATATACTTATATATAGAGAGAAAAAGAGATAGATAAACTGAAATCTTTAGTAGGCCATGTATTTTTTATTCGTTTTGGATATGTTATTAAATTTTATATGCCTCCATTTTCTCATCTCAACTGTAAAGTACAAATAACATGAAAATTAAATTTTATCATGCATTGTCTGCTATCAAAATATAGCAGTGCCTCATATATAATCAGTAATAAACTATTGGTAATATTCTAAATGAACAGTAGTAAGGAACTTTTTAACTAATTTAGGGTTCTTGTATCACATAAAATAATAAACATCTTTCTGTACTTAATTTATAACTATTGCTGATGAAATTCAATAATACTTTGATATGAAGTTCAGTGAAACAAAGTAGGACATAATCTTTTATATATGGTATTATTTCAACATTGAAATCTTATTCCAAGAAAGATTTATACTGTTTTGAAAATACTCAAAACCTTCAACTTTAATAAGACCACTCTGAAGTGCTGCAAAAATATTCATAAACTCAAGTATTTTGATAGTCTAATAAAAATATATTAAAAAATGAAATTATACCTAAGCAGAAACTTTGGTAAATATTTTTCTGATTACAGGTAAATCTTTCAAACGTAAAATCAATGGTTTTTAAAATTGATAAATTTGATAACATACAATCATTTAAACGTTCTTTCCAAAAATCAAACCTGTTAACATAAACATTAATTTATCTGAGGCCAGAAAATTTAATATCTTTTCAATGACATCTCCTTTATTAACCATCTAAATTATCTTGGAATACTTGGGGAATTTCCCATCATACAAGTCTTGGTGGAAAGCAGAGCTGGTTCCCACCCACAGAAGCTAAAATGGAAGCTTTCTCAGAACATTTGGCAGTTCAGGTAGTGCTTGCGACCTCAGCCCCATCACACGGCTTTATCCACCCAGAATTTTCAATCAAGAACTAATGACAACAAGGTAAATCAACTATGGCTTCTGTGGAAGTTGCCACAAAATTGATTTTTGGAGCAGTGATGACACAAAATTAGAGGTATTAATATTGTTCGTGGTCCAGAGTCAATGAAAAATGACACTCAAAATGCAAACAAAACAAGCAGCCACATGAAGGTTTTTATGCAAGCATATTCAACAGAGAATGGTTCATATTAACAAAATGAGCAAGCCAACAAACCAATTCTACATCTATTGCCATTTATTATTTAAGTAAATTGTGATACACCCACAAAAGGTAAGATTAATAAGGAGGCATTAGTCATCACAATTGAGATTAACCTGTAAGTGTGTGAAAACTGTTGTTACGAATAAAATGTTATGTAAGACACTTAGTCAGAAGGGTTCATTTTAACAACAGACTTAGAACCCAGGAAGGAAAAGGTCAAAGCGAAGCCATGTTCCTCATTTTTTTTTTTTTAATAAACTAACATGGCTATAGGAGAAAGGAAAAAACTATGCCCTTCCTGTGTAGCCTCATAGGCTATAGCGCACATCTTTATCTTTTCCACAGAAATAGCATGGGATTTTAGATCTTACTTTTAAAAACCTTAGATCACTGCACCTGTTGATGTACACATTTAACTTAGAAAAAATACCTTGTAATGTCTAACTAGTGTTAGATTTAGGACACAAGCCATGAATTTCAGGAAAGCATGACCTAAAGTCTCCTAAAATTGGATTATCTTGCATTTCAATTTGTTTTTTACCCTTTTCTCAAGGTTGTCATATTTTGTTAGTTCTTATAAATCAGATTCATAGGGCAACCTGTCATCTTTGTTACATAGTAGGTGAGATTTTCCTATCAGTTTTTCCTACATTGCTTCAATAAAGAAGTACACTTTGAAATAAATAATTTATTAACAAACACCTTGCATTATGCAGGGTTAATTTATCATGTGAACAAGTTTAACACTTTATTAACATAATTATCTTTTTAGTAGGTAAAATGTGTGATTAGTATTAATATATTAATAATTGTGTGTTAATGTGTTCTCGTGTAATTATCTAAATAAGTATTTCTTTGACATATAGCTATGCCTATTAGCAGCCATAAAATTATCTGTTGTGGTAAACAAGTTTGAAAAGGATTAAACCAAAACCGTTTTTATTGCAGATGGGTACTTTTATATATTTAAAATAATGAAATAATTGGTTTAGTACTAAAACTAAGTTGGCCATAGTAAATATACCACGTGGCTATTTAATTTGTGGTAAAGTTCTCAATTTGTGATAAAAGTGTATATTCAAAATATTATTTTTGAGGCATCTGCTTATTTTGCAATTCAGAATACACCAGTTTGTATAAGCAACTGGCACATACATGGATTTAATCAGGTTAGCTACTCAGGCTTAAGTCAATTTAAAATATGTTAGAACGAGATGCTATGTGGAATAGCAGGATATAGTATGGAATTACCTTTGCATTTTCACCATTTTACGCATCATTACATGCATTTAAATATTTAGAGAGCTTAAAACACTTTGAACAAACATATAATAATAGTTCTTGCAATACAACATTTGAGCATAACAAACTTTATTCAGTCTCAACCATGACCCAGGAATAGCTGATTGATCACTGTAGCAGACAGAGCTAGCCATCAGAAATATGTGCACCCCCTTCCACAGCATAGAGTTGTTACTAGATAGCTGCCCATTTTCAATCTTCCTTGCAGCTGAGAACTATGATATGACTGAGTTATAGGAAATGCAATATAGATAATAATAATGTAGAGCAACTACAGGCCTTGAATGATGAGACTCTTCTTAACTCTTCCATGATCTTTTCCCTTCTTGCCAACTTCAGTGTGAATTCCTAGCCTAATCTTGAAATCTATGCATTGAAGATGGCAGTCTCTGTCAAGCTTGATCCCTGAGTGAATGCATGAATATGTATAATCCAGAGGCTGGTAACTTTCCCAGTATTGTTTTGTTAGTAAGAAATGACTTTGTTTGTCTGCACATGTATGGATGTTAAGCCACTAAAATTCAGTAACTACATAGATCCTGCTTATGTTTTACAAGCTTCAATTATACAATATTTACTATTGTATATTGTTTTAAATGTTTAAAGGACTGAGCAAAAGATCTATGCATTGAGTATTTCTAATATTATTTGTGTGTGTATGTGTGTGCACATGCTTTGAAATAGAAAATGGCCAAAATAGTTTTTGCGAATCTAACTAAATCTGACTGGAAAAAAAAATTCTATATGGAACGTAGAAAGGAACAACAGAAAATGGGGCCTATTAGAGGGTGGATGGTGGCAGGAAGAAGATCAGGAAAAATAACTAATGGGTACTAGGCTTAACACCTGGGTGATGAAATGATCTGTACAACAAAACCCCATGACACAAGTTTATCTGTATAATAAGCCTGCATATGTACACTTGAACATAAAAGTTAAATTAAAAAATAATAAATTAAAATAAATAGTTCTAAAGCCTAGGCAAATCTGATGTAGAAGCAAATCCCATAACTTTAAAGAGAGTAAAGCTACTTAATCCTGGTGGCTAGAGAACTGAGGAAATGATTATCCAAGGTTTTGATTGTTATAGTATACTATATTATGTTATAATAAGCACTGGAGATACAGTTAAGAACTTTACATAGACGGGAAATGAATACTATATGGGAAATACTAAATAATGTCTCAGTGGAGACATTGCAGCTAAGTGGAAGGTTAATGTCTTCATCTTCAGGGTATGGCTCCTGGAAAAGGAAGACAAATCCAGGTCAGAGGTGGGCAAAGAAAGATTTAAGAATGGAAATATGAGAGTACCCAAGAAGTCTTTTTTGTTTTCTTGCTGAGGTCTCATGTATAAAACTAGGAATATTTGATTTCATGAAATATATCATCCTTCCAAGCAAGATATCCATGTGTATGGCATACTGCAAATCACCACCACTTGTTATTTATTAACAAATTCATTGAATTTAGTGAAGCCTTGTTTGATTCTTCTAGACTTACATTGATGGCACATAGAAGTATTTTGTTTACACTTCTGCAAGAATAGCAAAGGGAAGAGACATACCTACCAAATAAGGAAATTTTATCAAGTTTTTATATTCCTTTCCATGTAATTTAACATTAACAATAATGTCAGTGAACTCAGGGGAATCCAAATTGTTTGGGAACAATTCCAAATCTCTTCAACATTGACCATATTTGTTCTGAGTAAATTTGCTTTTTTTTTCTTAAAGCATACCATCATTTTATTTAGCCTTATGTCTATGAGCAAAAGAGGCAGAAACCTATATTCCCACGAGAATATCCAAGGAATGTACAGTGCTGGTCTTGGGGTGCATGTAGTAAAACAGAGTTTAGGAAACTTTCTAAGAGGAAAAGATGTAGAAATGGTGACAGGGAGACAGATTCCATCTCAAAATAAGGAACGACTTTCTAACAGTTAAATCTGCTTGGCTTTAGTAACACAGAAAATCTTCTAAATTATCTTACATGATTGTAAAATCATATTATTAGTACTTTGGGGAAGCAATTGGTTCCACACCTGAGTTTCTGATTGTTCCTAAAATCTTTTGTTGGCCAGACAGCCAAGCCTCCTTTAACCATTTTGATGAATAAATCTTGCACTAGCTTACAAAAGGACAAGTATGGTCCAGAAAGCCTGCCTTAGCATGTACTTTGTTTACTGATAACTTCAACTTAGATTCAGCTCACCATGGGTAGTTTCATAGAAACACACTATTAGCAATGTATGAAAGTGCATGACAAGCAGACCTAGTTTTACTACACTTCACTTCATTGATAATATTCATTGATAATATTCACTTCACAGATAATGTTTGTTGTTGTTGTTTGTTTGTTTTTTTACAAATTGAAGGTTTTTGAGAGCCCTGTGTGGAGCTAGCCTGTGCAAGCCATTTTTCCAACAGCATGTGCTCACTTCACGTCTCTGTGTCACATCTTGGTAGTTCTTGTACTATTTCAAACTTTATTATTATTATACCTCTTTTGTTGGTCTATGTTTGGCGATCTTTGATTTTACTATTGTCATTGTTTTGGGTGCAATGAGCCATGCTCATTCATATATGATGCCAAAATTAACTGATAAATGTGTGTGCCCTGACTATTCCACTGACTGTCTGTTCCCCCAGGGCTCTCTTTCTTTGGGCCTTCTTCTTGCCGGATACACAACAATATTAAAATTAGTTCAGTTAATAACCCTGCAATGGCCTCCATGTGTTCAAGTGAAGTCAGTAGAGTCAAATGTCTATTACTTTAAATAAAAAATTAAAAATGTTTAAACCTAATGAAGAAGGCATGTAAAAATTCGAGTTAGATTGAAAGCTAGGCTTCTTGCATCAAACAGCCAAGTTTTTAATGCAAAGGAAAGTCTTTGAAGGAAATTAAAATTGCTACTCCAGTGAACACATGAATGATAAGATAGCAAAGCAGCCTTATTGCAGATATGGAGAAATTTTTAATAGTCTGGATAGAAGACCAAACCAGCCACCAACATTCCTGTAAGCCAAGGCCTAATTCAGACCAAGGACCTAACTGTCCTCCATTCTACAAAGGCAGAAAGAGGTTAGGAAGCTACAGAAGAAAAGTTTGAAGTTAGCAGAAGCTGGGTCACAAGGTTTAAAGAAATAAGTCATCACCATAACATAAAAATGCAAGGAGAGGCAGCAAGTGCAGATTGTCTTTTTTTTCTTTTCTCTTCTTTTCTTTCTTTATTTTATTTATTTATTTTGAGACAGGGTCTCACTCTGATGCTTGGACTGGAGTGTAGTGGTGTGACTTCCAGTCAGTGCAGCCCCCACCTCCTGGGATTAAGTAACCCTCCCACCTCAGCCTCCTGAGTAGCTGGGACTACAGGCCCCTGCCACCATGCTTAGCTAATTTTTAATTGTTTTGTAGAGATGAGGTCTTACTATATTGCCCAGGCTGGTCTTGATCTCCTAGGCTGAAGCAGTCCCCCTGCTTTGGCTTCCCAAAGTGTTGGGATATCAGGTGTGAACCACAGCACCCAGCCAACAACAGATTTTTTAATGTAGACATAACAGCCTTCTATTGGAAAAAGATGCCATCTAGGATTTTCATAGCAAAAGAAGAGAAGTCAAAGCTTGGCTTCAAAGCTTCAAAGGACAGGCTGACTCTCCTGTTAAGGGTCAATGAAGCCAGCAACTTTAAGTAAAAGCCAATGCTTATTTATCATTCAAATATCCTAAAGCCTTTAAGAATTATGCTAAATCTACTCTGTGTGTGCCCTAAAAATAGAATTCATGATTCATGAGAGGGGGCAACATTAACAGAGGTCTGGAAGAAGTTGATTCCAACCTCATGGGTGACTTTGAGTGGTTCAAGACTTCAGTGGTCAAGTAACTATGGATGCAATGGAAATAGAAAGAGAACTAAAATTTAAATGGGAGCTTGAAGATGTGACTGAATTGCTGCAATCTTATGATAAAATTTTAAGGAATGAGAAGTTCTTTCTTTTTTTTCTTTATTTTTTTATTTTTATTTTTTCTTGAGACAGAGTTTTGCTCTTGTTGCCCAGGCTGGAGTGCAATGGTGCGATCTCAGCTCACTGCAACCCCCACCTCCCGGGTTCAAGTGATTCTCCTGCCTCAGCTTCCTGAGTAGCTGGGATTACAGGTGTCCGCCACCACACCCGGCTAAGTTTTTTATTTTTAGTAGAGACAGGGTTTCACCATGTTAATTAGGCTAGTCTCGAACTTCTGACCTCAGGTGATCCACCCACTTCAGCCTTCCAAAGTGCTGGGATTACAGGTGTGAGCCACCGTGCCCGGCCTCGAGAAGTTGTTTCTTACGCAACAGCAAAGTAAATGGTTTCTTGGGATGAAATCTACTCCTGGTGAAGATGCTGTGAACATTGTTGAAATGACAACAAATAATTAAGAATGCCATATAAACCTAGTCAGTAAAGGCACAGCAGGGTTTAGAGGACTGACTCCAATTTTTAAAGTTCTACCATAGGTGAAATTTCTATCAAACAGCATCACATGCTGCAGAGGAATCCTTTGTGAAAGGAAGAGTCAATCATTGTTGCAAACTTCATTGTTTTCTTATTTTAAGAAATTATCACAACTACTCCAACCTTCAGAAACCACCCCATTAGTCAGGAGTCATCATCACTGAGGCACTACCCTGTACCAGCAAACAAATGTACAACTCACTGAAGATTCAGGTGATCATTAGCATTTATTAGCAATAAAGCGTTTTTAATTAATATATGTACATTTTTAGACATGTTATTGCACACTTAGACTGTATTATAGTCTAAACATAACTTTTATATACACTGGGAAACCAAAATATTTGTGTGACTTGCTTTATTGAAGTACTTGTTTTATTGCAGTGGTCTAGAAGCAAACCTGCAATATCTCCAACATATACCTGTATATATACTTCTTATTACTTTTTTTTTTTTCTGTATAGGAGCATAGTGTTCTATTATCTTATTCAGTGTTCTTAGTACTGGTGGTTTTAAAGTCAAGACTTGCTCTAGATACTTCAGCAACAGGGGTTTGAAGACTTTCCTTCTTGTGTCTTGTCACTGACATAATTCACCTACATTTTATGTGCTTCTTTCCAGCATGCCGTCAACAAGAAGGCATTTTATCTATAATCCAAATTAAAATTCCAGACAACATATTTTATCAACTCAGCTAATAAGTATTAGTTGGGTATTGCCTTTTATTCTAGGCCACTTCATAGATCATTGATCATCCTATAGATTAGTCGTTACTTAGGTCTATTGTGCTAACATGCTCCGATATCAATGACTCCTTCTATACACTAACTCCTTGAGTAGGTATCAATGATGAAGCATTTTATGTAAGAAGACAGTATGATAAATAATGGCATAGATTTAGCATAGAGAATTATATTTTACCTTAAATGACAGTTATTCATTTAATAAGCAGTGCTTCTACTGGTGCACCAGGATTTACTGCGGAATGAACAGAACTTAGTATTGAAATTCATGGAAATAAGTTCAACCCCATCAATGGTAAATTGAGTGAAATATTGTGGAATTTCTAAACATTGAAAATTTTATAAGATTTAAAATGAATTACTATTATATCAAGGGACTAGAACATATTGAAAAATGAGGCATCAATATTATTCAAAGTGATACTATATATTTTTCATAAATATATTTAATGAAAAAATTATGCATGAGAATAACATTCTGGGGAGGTGAAAGACATAGGCAAGTAAATTAGAACAGAAGAGACTTTAATTATTTCTCTCATGCTGTGGTTGGTGATGACGGTGGAGTACGAGGTGAATGTAATGTGAGACACATGTGACAACACCTGAACATTTGTTAATTATTAGTGGTAGAATCATAGGTGATTTGGAATTTTCTCCTCTTTATTGTCTTTAAATTATGCAGATTCAATCCTATAAGTTACCTCGGGAAGACATCTGTATTGCAGGAAGTATTAAGCGGTCCTTCTCGGTTATAAAATGTGTGGGAGATAAGTATCCTCTTATTGAATAAGTGTATATGGGAGTTTTTTATATTCTCATATGGATGGGCCAGTAGTGTGCAAAGATAGTCTGTAGGGATCATGTTGAGCCATGATCCATACATATATATATATATGGTCATATATATATATAGTCATATATATATAGTCATATATATAGTCATATATATAGTCATATATATATAGTCATATATATAGTCTTATATATAGACATATATAAATATATATATAGTCTTATATATATATAAATATATATATAGTCTTTTATATATATATAAATATATATATAGTCTTTTATATATATATAAATATATATATAGTCTTATATATATATATATATATATAAATATATATATAGTCTTTTCCAAAAGATTCCCAGATTCCATTGAGCATACAAGAGAGCCTCTCTGGTTCTGGGATTCTACCTTCAAGCGCAGCCAAGAAAGGTGAGATGACATATGGATATATTGACCACCTCACAAAACTTTTACTGTATTCACTTGCACAAAATATCTCTTGCAGTTTCTAATCTCTCCAAATGTCAAGGTGATTTTAAAATCACTAATTCAATAAATGAACTTTCAACTAAAGATGAATATGTGAAGAAAGTAAAGCAAACATTTCTACAAATATTTGCAATTGTTAGATGTGATTGATACTATACTTAAATGACTACATTATGCACAAATCAAATTCAAGATGTAAATGATAATTCAAATACTTCTTAGATAAGACAGTAGCTTTCAAATATTTTCCTTATTCATGAAGAATTGTTTCAAAAAGCTGAGTTTGATATACACTTTTAAAATTATCCTAAATATGCACAGGTACGGTCAGTTGTCAAACATTCTTGAGAATTATAGAAGCCGTTTTGAAGTGAAAATCATGGCTTATTTATACATGAAAAATTCTCTGTACTGTATTTGAAGCAGAAATATTGTGGGGGAAAAATACCAACATGAAGATTCTGGAAATAAAAGGAAAGAACATTACTACTGATAGTTGTTGGCTTTATGGGAATACAGCCATTTTTTCAGAATATTTATAAAATGTCAGCTGTGAGTTATAGTTGAAGAGCATGAATCATGGAGTCAGGTCTTGCTTTAGGCTCTGACTTCGGCTCTGACATATTTACTCATTCATTCAACAAATACCTCTCTTGCCTACGAGGCACTGTGCTGCAAAACTGCAGTCAGATTTTTTAACTTTCTAAGCTTTTATTTAATTACATTAAAAATATGGTAAATGCTGTGTATCTCCAGGATGGCTATAAAGTTATATTAATGCTAAATATAAAAGGACTAACAAAATAAATACAAGATTCCTGCTTCTCTTTGAACATGTGATCAAATGCCCAAATCTTAGCTTAAGAAACAGCAATAGTTTTCTAAAAAATTTGTCTATATATATATATATATATATATAGTCTTAGCAAAGACTACGTTTTATATGTATATTTTATATGTATTATATATAGTAGAATTTTTCCCTTTTTCTATATTTTTATATATATTTTATATACAGTAGATTTTTTTTATTTCAACAAGAAGGAATAAAATTTAACTTGTAAATTCAAAAGGGAAAGGTGTAAATTCAAAAGAGAAAGGGATAATTAAATGATAATACTAAAACCAAATCTCTTGATGTTTGTGCAGAAATTATAAATGAGAGATTACACTTTTGATTGTCAATAGCTTTCCCTCATGATAGATTTGGTTCTCAGTAAAGGTGTTATCAGTTTGTTTACTAGAAGGTTACCAATTATCCTTCCCCTTCCTTATGGGATTATAGCTAGATTACATTTATATTCCTTTCTGCATTTAAGAGGGGCTATATGATTGGATTTGAACCAATAAAATATGAGTCGGCTTGGCCAACATAATGAATTTATAAAAAGTGGGAAGTGGAACAAGGCCGAGGGGTCTTGACTGCTGTACAGATATTTCACAAATATTTGTTTCATATGTTAGTAATGGATAAACTGAAAGAGGTGATCTACTATACACAAGAAGAAGTAGAAAGAATCAAAGCTCTATGCAGTTGAGCTTGTGCTCAGGCATGGGCACTACTGATCCTCAGACTAAAGAGACAGTTTTCCATAATCCGCAGTGAAGTGTTGCCTTAGGCAATGAGGCACTGAGAAAGCTTGCTGCAGAACAGAGTTCTGGTCCCACAAGGCAGGATTTTGAAACAACCACAAAGTGTTCTTGAGAATTAGACATAGGACACAAAAGGAAGGTGAACCTTCCCCTTCACTATCTTGCCAATTGTTTTCTCTATTCACACCCATCTCTCCAGCCTCTGTTCTCTCCTTCTTTCTCTGTAGTCTTTTTTCCAAGTCGAACCTTTCATTATATCACAGACATCATTTTAGTGTAATATTATATTTACTTTGATCTTGCATGGAAATATCTGGTAGCCACTCTAATAACTCACCAATTTCACAGTCTTTGAAAATATAAACTTTCCCAGAAATTTTTACTAAAACTATATATATCTACCTTAAGCCTCCACTGTTCTGAACTCTAGATTCTGGTTATAATGTTTGTTTTGTTTTGTTGACATGTTTTAACTTCAATCAGTTTATCAACATGGTCAGTTTTAGTTTTTGGGTCAGATACTTCTTTTTGATGCTGGGCTGGTTTGCAAATATATTATATTTAGCATACTGATTGGCACCAGCATGATATTAAACATAATACATTTGCAACCCCCCCTCCTTCCTGCGACAGGTAGTACCTTGCTTCTCTCTTGTGACAACTAACAGAATCTCAAAACATTGTCAAATATTGCCTGGCAGGCACAATCATACTATTGTAGAACAATTAACTTAGATACAGAAATTTGTCCCCTATCAAATTCTCCCAAATCATTTATTTGTACAAAAATAATTAATGTGAATCCCAGCTCTTTCTACAAATACCATGAAAGTGACACACCCAGAGCTACTTTGTGTATTGTTGGTTTTCACCTAGCATAACCAGTTTGAGAACTTGGCTTCCTGAAGTGACCATAAGGGCTTTAAAAACAAACAAACAAACAAACAAACAAAACAACATGAAAAGATACTTCTGCTTTGAGCTCTTCTGAAGCCAAGATTTATTGTATAGATATTGGGGATTCCATCTAAGTTTACACCTGGATGACTCTTAAGACTCCCCAATGCTTGCTTGCATTCTCTCTCTTTTGCTATAGCATATCTTTTGCTTTTTTGTTAAAGCTTTACATAAATATGCTTCTAAGAGTCTTGTGAGCACTTTAAAACATTTAAACTTGTGAAATTTTTGCATTTGTTTATTTTGGGTTTAATTTCCACCTTCTTTTTTTCATTGTTTTATCTATTTAGGTTTCCATGATGACTGCAAAAATTGCTTTTGGAGCCTTTTTTAATATAAGTTTTTTATATTTAAAAATGTTTTAATATAAATTTTTGAATAATTTATATCATAAATTATTGTGGAACACTACTTTAAGGGTGTTTCACAAATTTTAATATGTTGTGTCTTTATTAGTATTTCATTCAAAATGTTTCTTCAGTTTTCCTTATATTTTTTCTTTGATGCGTGGACTCTTTAGAAATATATTCCCTCATTTTTGATATTGGTGAATTTGTCTAGATATGTATTAGGTTTGTGGCAGACAAAGTGTAAGTGGACACGAGGATAATCTCCACCAGTTACTGGTCATACACTTTATATTAACCCCCTCTTGAGTGGGGGCAAAATCTGTGACTCACTGCTAGCCAATAGAACATATCAAAGTGAAGTAATTTTGCGGATGTAATTAAGGGCACAAATCAGTTGGTTTTGAGTTAATTAAAATGGAAATTATCTTGGGTGAGCCTAACTTAATAAGTTGAAAGCCCTTAAAAATTAGGACTTCTTGAAGGTAAAACAATTACAATGACTCTTTTAGGGGACAGAACTCGTTTAAAATCAGGTGAGAGATCGTAGTATCTGGTTTTATCATTATGTTAAGGAGAGAGGCCCTGAAGAAGGTAGAAAAGACAGTCTTTAATTGTTGACACCAACGCTTCCTCATTCCCCAGCAGCAGCCACATGTCATGGAGAAATAGTCTATATGCTTAGAGGAGGGAGAGGGCAGTGACTGTGGGACTTTGCATTGGAACACAATCCTGCCCTGTCACAATGAAAAGCAACATGAGGCAGAATCCAGCTGGCACCCACAGAGGGAGCACTGAGACCAACTCTAGGCAGAAGTGAATTGCCCATCCCTGAGATTGGAGCCTGAGTCCTGACAAGCCCTGTCACCATTAGCTAAAGTTTTTTTTGGGGTCCCAAATAAACTTGGAAGACAGTCTAGGCTGCAAGGTCTACAATTCCTGAGCAAGTCCTGGTGTTATACTGGGCCTGAAGCCAGTGGCCTTGGGGTGCACGTAACCCAGTGAGGCACCAGCTGGATGGGCAAAGGCATGCTCATGTCACCCCTCCCCTAACTCCTGGAAGTGCAGATCCCAGTTCTGGAAAAGATTCCTTCCAGAGGAGAAGGAAGAGTAAAAAGACTTTGTCTTGCATCTTGGATGTTAGCTCAGCCACAGTGGAATAGGGCACCAGGCAAATTCCCATGGTCCGCATTCCAGGCCTTAGTTCCTGGATGACGTATCTGGAAACACTCTGGGCCAGAAGGGACTGCATGGCCTCAAAGGGACTAATGCAGTCCTGGCAGGATACATCACCTTCTCAATAAAGTACCATTGGACCCCATGGTGGCCGCAAGGAGAGGCTCCTGTTTGAGAAAATGACAGAAAAGAATAAAGGGAGATCTTTACTCTTCTCCAAATCTTGCAACTTGGGTGCCAGCTCAGCCACAGAGGGATATAATACCAAGAGAGATCCTGAGGTACCCAATTCCAGGACTTGGTGCTTGGACAGCACTTCTGGACCAACCTGAATCAGAGGAGAGCCCATTACGCTGAAGGGAGAGACTGGGGCCTGGTAGCATTCTTCGTAAGCTGACCGAAGAGCCCTTGGGCCTTGAGTTAACATTGATGTTAGCCAGGCAGTACTCAGCACAGGCCTGGGGTAGTGGTTACCATGATGAGAAATCTTTCTGCTCCAGGAAAAGAGAGAGAAGAGTGGGAAAGATTTTGTCTTGCAGCCTGAGTGCTAGCTCAGCCATGGTAGACTAGAGCCACAGATAAATCTTAACGTTTCTGATTCCAGGCCCTGGCTCCCCTATAGCATTTCTCATCCCAGCCTGAGCCAGTGGGGCACTCGCTGCCCTGAAGGGAAAGACACAGCCTGTCTGGGTAAGCCATTTGCTGACTAAAGAGCCCTTGGTTCTTGAGTAAACATCAGTGGTAGCCAGGCAGTGGTCACACGAGGCCTTGAGTGAAACCCAGTGCTATGCTGGCTTCTGGTCTGACCTAGCACAGTCCCAGTGGTGGTGGCCACAGGGGTGTCAAATTGCCCCCAGCTCCAGTATCCTCAACATGGAGAGAGAGAGACTCTGTTTTCTTGGATAGTCTTGAAGATTGTGGATGTTCCTCATGCCTGGGTATTGAAGAGTTGGGTATTTATTGTAATCTTCACACTCTGTGCTTGTTTGTACTCATCCTTCAAAAATGAAAGGGATAATTAGGATGATAATACTAAAACCAAATATCAACCTTCTTGGGGAAGTTTCCCAACTATTCAAAGGAAATTGAGAGTTGTGGTCTAAGTCTTTGGTCACTGTAGTTTTATCTGCATTAGGGGGCACTCCAAGCTCAGTAATGCTTTGACCTTTGCAGACTTTTAGAGGTATCACCCTGGTGGTTTCACAAAAGACCTGGGAGAATCTATCAAGGGGAAAAGCTAGTGACAATCAAAAGTGTAATCTCTCGTTTATAATTTCTGCACAAACATCAAGAGATTTTTAGGTGAAAGGAAGGGAAAAGAACAAGAGTCTTGCCTGATAATCCAGAGATTTCTCCCGTAACTTGTCCAAGACCATCTAGGCAGTACTCTCAGAGTCTGCAAGAACCAGGGCGTTACTGAGCTTGGGGTGATCCCTGAAGCAGATACACTTTAGTTCCCAATATTCAAGTTCTTTAGAATATCTGGAAAGCCTTTCCAAGCAGGACAGGTCCAAAACAAGCACAGAGAGTGAAGGCTACAATAAATACCTAACTCTTCAATGCCCAGACACAGATGAACGTCTACGAATATCAACCCCATTCAGGAAAACATGACCTCACCAAATGAACTAAATAAGGCAGCAGGGACTAATCCTGGAAAAACAGAGATATGTGAGTTTTTAGACAGACAATTCAAAACAACTATTTCTAGAAAACTAAAAAAAAATTAAAATAACACAGGAAAGGGATTCTGAATTCTATTAGACATATTTGACAAAGAGATCGAAATAATTTTAAAAAATCAAGCAAGAAATTCTGGAGATGAAAAATGCAATTGGCATACTAAAGAATGCATTAGAGTGCTTTAATAGCAGAATAGATCAAGCCACATAACGAATTTGTGAGCTTGAAGATAGACTATTTGAAAATATACAGTCAGATGAGACAAGAAAAAAATAAAAAGAAATGAAACGCACCCACAGGATCTAGAAAATAACCTCAAAAGGGCAAATATAAAAGCTATCGGCTTTAAAGAGGAGGTAGACAGATTAGAGTAGAAAGTTTATTCAAAGGGATAACAGATAACTTCCTAAACCTAGAGAAAAATATTATTATTCAAGTACAAGGCAATTTTAAAACATCAAGCAGATTTAACCCAAATAAGTCTACCACAAAAAAGTAAATAATCAGACTCCCAAATATCAAGGATATAGAAAGATTTATGAAAGTTCCAAGAGAAACAAAGTAAGTAACCTACAAAGGAGCTCTGATACATCTGGCAGCAGGCTTCTCACTGGAAAAATTATAGGTCAGGATAGAGTAGCATTACTTATTTAAAGTGTTAAAGCAGGGGGAAATAGCTTTTATCCCAGAATAGTATATCCATGGAAAATATCTTTCAAACATGAAGGAGAGATAGAAATAGACTTTCCTAGAAAGCAAAAGGTGAGAGATTTCATCAACACTCACTCTGTCCTATAAGAAATGCTGAAGAGAGTTCATTTGAAAGAAAAGGACATTAATGAGTAATAAGACATCCTCTAAAGGTACAAAACTCACTGGTAATATTAAGTACACAGACAAATGCAGAATGTTATACACAGTAATTGTGGTGGGTAAACTACTCATATCTTGAGTAGAAAGACTAAATGTTTAACATATCAAAATAATAACTAAAACGAGTTTTGAAGACCTAGACAGTATAATAAGATATACATAGAAACAACAAAAAGTTTAATGGGCAAAAGATCCAAATAGGTATTTCTGAAAGAATACATGCAAATGAGAAACAAGTATATGAAAAGGTGTTTAACATTGTTAATTATCAGATAAATGCAAATCAAAACTACAATAAGATGTCATCTCACCATAGTTAAAATGAGTTCTATCCAAAAGACAGGCAATAAAAAATGCCAGTGAGGATGTGGAGAAGTGGGAGGCCTCATACACTGTCAGTGCAAATGTAAATTAGTACAGCCACAATGGAGAACAGTATGGAAGTTCCTCAAAAAAACTAAAAATAGAACTACCATGTGATCCAGCAGTCCCATTGCTAGGTACATACCCAAGTAAAGGAAATCAGTGTATCAAAGAGATAACTGAACTCCTGTGTTTATTGTAGCACTATTCACAATAGCCTGTGGTGGTGGCCACAGGATGAGGTTCCTCTGCCTTTGGAAATGGGAGGAAAGAATTGAAAGCAACCTAAATGTCTACCAATAGCAGAATAGGTAAAGAAATGCTGTACATATACACAATGGAGTACTATTTAGCCAGGAAAAAGAATGAGATCCTGTCATTTGCAACTACATGAATGGCATGTTAGGACATTATGTTAAGTAAAATAAGCCAGGCACAGAAACACCAACTTCACATGTCATCACACAGTTGTGTAAGCTAAAATTTGAAACAATTGAACTAATGGAGTTTGAGAGTGGAATGATGGTTACAGGAGACTAGGAAAGGTAGTGGGTAGGTAAGGAGAAATGGGCATGGTGAATGGGTACAAAAGTATAGTTGGATTGAATTAATAAGATTTAATATTTAACAGTACAACAGGATGACTATAGTAAAAAATAATTTATTGTATATTTAAAAATAGTTAAGAGTATAATTGGAATGTGTGTACACAAAGAAATGTTAAATGGTTGAGGAGATAGGATAGACACCCCATTTACACTGATATGTTTATTACATATTTATGACTATGTCAAAATATGTCATATACTCCATAAATATACACATCTATTATATTTCCATAAAAATTAAATATTAAAATCTTTATTTGAAAAATGATTCTCAAAATATTAAAGTTTCAAATGTTATGACCAACAATGGCACCAATTCCTTATAAATTAGATGTAAAAATTAGAATTTTAACAAACAATATTTAAAATGGAGCCAAAATTGTGTTTTTATGTGTTTAGAAACATTTAGCTGCATATGCTCTTATAAATGCACCCAGTAAATACTTACAAAGAAGCATTAGTGAATTAAAATACTTGAGAATCCCAAAGTGAAAAATGAATTGTCATAGTAACATCTTTTGATTTATAAACATATTTTGGATAATCATTGTAACATCTTTTGATTTATAAACATATTGTGAATAACCTGAGCAAATCTTTTTTTTTTTTTTTTTTTTGAGATGGAGTCTTTCTGTTGCCCAGGCTGAAGTGCAGTAGCACAATCTCGGCTCACTGCAACCTCTGCCTCCTGGGTTCAAGTGATTCTCGTGCCTCAGGCTCCTGAGTAGCTGGGATTACCGGCATGCACCATCATGCTCAGCTAATTTTTTTGTATTTTTATTAGAGACAGGGTTTCCCCATGTTGGTCAGTCTGGTCTCGAACTCCTGACCTCAGGTGATCTGCTCGCCTCAGCCTCCCAAAGTGCTGGGATTACAGGCGTGAGGCCACCATACCCAGCCCACTACAGAGTAAATCTTTAATGTATCACAATTCATTCCAGCTTACTTTTATCAATATGAATAACACAGTATTATATAAAAGTATTTTCATCTGTTTGGTTTTGGAGGTAATCAGAATATTTAAAATTCTTATATCTCTTTGATAAACTCACATGCTTTTTATCAATGACAACAAACTGAATTAAAAGCATTATTGTGATTTAAAAAACCCAGGATTATCTATTAAAGAGATTCCAAAAAGATAAACATTAATTGAGTTCAGCCTGCTCATTGTTTGTATGTTCACTTGGGGTTATGGTGGATAATAATTACAATTTTCTGCTTTACTCTAATTTTTCTTGCTGTGAATGAAATCCTATACCATTCTCTTAGCCTCTGTAATGACAATTAACACTTTAAAATTCTATTCTTCATCCTGAGAAGACCTGGACATGGTTCTCATGGGTGTTCATTAACAAAAACCTGGTAATATCAAAGTTTTCTAATAAATTAGAGTGCTTTGTTTTATCTTTGTCTTATGTAAACAGTGTTTAGTTATTATCAAAAAATAATATAAAAATTGCACTTAATAATAAAGAAGAAAACACATTACACCATTGTATCACTACAGGATTTGGTTAAAAATGATCTTTTTTATTGTGAGTCTGACATTTGTTAGCTCATTTATCTCATATTAATTGTACTTATTTTTAAAATATCTTCTCAGTTTGTGGTTATACATCATTTACAAGGTGGTCCATTTGTGTTTATTTCTCTTTAATTCTAGAGGTGCCTTGTTTACCTAATTGGTCTATTTAAATAAATTAAATTGATATATTGCTTTTGTCTAATGAATGAAGCTAATTTTAAATGGATTCATCAATTGTATTTACATCAAGTACCTGTCTAATAACCTGACAATCAAGACTGGGTATGATGGCTCACACCTTTAATCCCAGCCCTTTGGGAGGCCAAGGTGGGAGGATGGCTTGAGCCCAGGAGTTTGATAATAGCTCACTGCAGTGAGCTCTGATTATACCACTGCACCTGAGCCTGGGCAGTGGAGCATGACATTGTCTCAAAATATTAATAATAATAATTATTATAACAATTATTATTTCAATGCTTTCATTTTCTTAGTTGAGTCTTTATATTTTTATCTTTATAGGTTTTCCTTCATAAGTGCTACCAGTTTAGCTGTTTTCTTCTATGGCAGATCCTTACCTCCTCTTAATCTCTAGCCATTTTCCAAGAGTTTACGAAAATTTAGCTTCAGAGTAAAGCAGGCAAGTAAACTGAATAAAGAGCGAGGACAATGGTACTTTACTAGAATTAATAAGTAACTGGTTTTGAAAAAAAAGAGGAGAATAAAGATACAAGGAGGAAGGCTTAGAGAATAAAGAAGCAAAAAATTAAAAAAATTGCAACATTGTATACCAAGCCAAGATACAAAGATTGCTCCTATTTTCTAGTTTATCAATTACTGATAGCAATAGTAACAGCAGCAGCAGCATCTGTAGCAACTGTAGTGGTATCAATATCGATAGTAAGCATACAAATAGCTTACCATTATTGGATTGTAACTTCCGGGGGGGACTTGGATAAACTTTTAAATAAATATCATTTAAATCTTGCAACAACCTTATTATATGGATGATATTATTAATATTTATTTAAAGGGGCTAAAGGTTTGCTAATATAGTAGAAAGAAGCCAACACAATCAAATTTGAATCAGATTATACTGAAAAAAGAAACAGGCTCAAGTTGTAGACACCTGTGTGAGTCAAGGTTTGGAAATGATTGAAGAATGAAAAAAGATATAAGAACTTAATACTTAATTTTTCTTGTGTGTTTTATGTCCAGCTACCTTGGATCGTTATACTTCTGTAAGTGTGGAACTGATATAGAAGAGATTGCATAATAAATACACTGGACTCTAGCAAACATATCTAAAACTTCAATATTTCCTGACATGTTAAGATGAGACTTCTAATTAGAGGCATGGCTCAAGTAAATGTTTGGTACCAGAAAATGAGTGGAATTAAATTCTCATTAGTTCCCATTCTGTTACTAGTATGGAAAGCAGCATTTTATTATCAAATTTCAGGTATTTCTTCAGAAGCTTTTTAATGTCTATACCATTCACTGCCCTGTGCTATATTTATACTTTGTACTCTGAGGGCTGTAACTCATTATACAACATATACTCCACTCACTGATTGAAGCAACCAAGCTTAAGTAAAAACAACTATCTTACCAAAAATTAGGTAATAGAAATTTGAATAGTGTAGCATTAGAGTAGGAAAAAATATAAATTCTGTCCTAGGGACTACAAGCGTTGTCAGAAAATTTTTTTTTTTATTATACTTTAAGTTTTAGGGTACATGTGCACATTGTGCAGGTTAGTTACATATGTATACATGTGCCATGCTGGTGTGCTGCACCCACTAACTCGTCATCTAGCATTAGGTATATCTCCCGATGCTATCCCTCCACGCTCCCACCACCCCACAACAGTCCCCAGAGTGTGATATTCCCCTTCCTGTGTCCATGTGATCTCATTGTTCAGTTCCCACCTATGAAAATATGCAGTGTTTGGTTTTTTGTTCTTGCGATAGTTTACTGAGAATGATGATTTCCAATTTCATCCATGTCCCTACAAAGGACATGAACTCATCATTTTGTATGGCTGCATAGTATTCCATGGTGTATATGTGCCACATTTTCTTAATCCAGTCTATCATTGTTGGACATTTGGGTTGGTTCCAAGTCTTTGCTATTGTGAATAATGCCGCAATAAACATACGTGTGCATGTGTCTTTATAGCAGCATGATTTATAGTCCTTTGGGTATATACCCAGTAATGGGATGGCTGGGTCAAATGGTATTTCCAGTTCTAGATCCCTGAGGAGTCGCCACACTGACTTCCACAATGGTTGAACTAGTTTACCGTCCCACCAACAGTGTAAAAGTGTTCCTGTTTCTCCACATCCTCTCCAGCACCTGTTGTTTCCTGACTTTTTAATGATTGCCATTCTAACTGGTGTGACAAATGGGATCTAATTAAACTAAAGAGCTTCTGCACAGCAAAAGAAACTACCATCAGAGTGAACAGGCAACCTACAAAATGGGAGAAAATTTTCCCAACCTACTCATCTGACAAAGGGCTAATATCCAGAATCTACAATGAACTCAAACAAATTTACAAGAAAAAAACAAACAACCCCATCAAAAAGTGGGCGAAGGACATGAACAGACACTTCTCAAAAGAAGACATTTATGCAGCCAAAAAACACATGAAAAAATGCTCATCATCACTGGCCATCAGAGAAATGCAGATCAAAACCACAATGAGATACCATCTCACACCAGAAAATTCTTTGAGGTGAATGTGATGTTTACTCTTCAAGAGGCACAGCTGTACTCTAGGCAAAAGGCAGATAAAATGACGACAGGAAGCAATAACAAAATTTTTACTCTCTCAGCTTTTAATAAGTATGATTTTAGCACCCTCTAAATATACTTATTTCTCATTTACATATCTCTAGGACATAGATATGGGAATATGATATTTGTTGATCAATTATAAAATTTAATTCTCTACAAAGAAAGAAAAATACTACCCTCATATTATTTACCAGAATAAAAAGCTCTATTTACATTTCTTGGCCTCTGTATTGTCAGTGCTCTGTTTTCCTCTTCCTTGTTCTTCATTCCCCACTTTAAAAATAAATGAATAAATGCATTATATACAGAAGTAATCAAAGGGCCAAACTACATATACATATTTGCTTTGTTACTTTCCAATTATTTCCTTTTACTTGGGTGGCAGCTGCACCCCAAAGTTTTCTGGCTTCTTCTTTTTATTATCATCTTTATCATTGTGCTGCTATCTTTCTGTAGTTTTAAATGTGAGAGGAATGCTATGCTCCTGCTCTTAACAGACTAACAGTTTTGTGAAATTTCTTTATTTTCTTTGTTACACACAGGACCTATACTACAACTTTAAATATATTATTTCTTGAAATTATATTTGCTAAAACTGTCACTTCTTATAAGCAAGCATCTAGTTTATGCTTCAGAAGGGTGGGGTTAAAGTAGGTAACCTTTAAGGTTTCTTTCAACCCCAACAGTATTTAATTCTATATAATTTTCCCTGAAAAGGAGGAACTCAAATAGGAGACAACGTTTGACACTTAATTCCCTATAATTTTTTCAGGGTAAATGCAATCTCAAAAATGATGATGGAACTAATCTGTATCTTTGTGAAAGTAAAAGAAAATACTACTTTCAGGCATCAATAAAAATTATGACACACTTTTAAAATGGGTATAATAGAATGTTAAAAGGTAATTACAGTATTTACAAAGTTGCTATCTAAATTACTTAATTGCATATACAGTTTTTTTCCTCAAGATAGACTAGTGTTAACTACCTATACACTTTCTTAAATGACATCTAGATAATTTTAACTCAGGGAAAGTGCAACAATTTAGGATTTGACCTACTTTTAATGTAAAAGCAAACTATTGACCGAGGTTGTAGTTTAGTGTTGGTTTAGTGGCTTCTGAGATCTAAGGAAAGCTTTTTCCTCATCTTCACACAAGTTTTAATCTCCTTATTGCACTAGCTCACCAGAGATGGCTTCTAACAAAATTGAAATGGCTGAAATGAGAAATATACAGTTCTGAATATCAGTGGCAAGGAAGCTCGATGAGATTCAGGAGAAAGTTAAAACTCAATCCAAAGAAGCCAAGAAAATGATTCAACAGTTGAAAAATTACATAGCCATTTTAAGAAAGAACTAAGCTGGACTACTGGAATTGAAAAATTCATGATAGGAATTTCATATTACCATTGGAAAAATTAACAACAGAAGAGAACAACCTCAGGAAAGAGTCTCAGACCATGAATATCAATCTTCTGAATCAACCTAGTCTGACAAAATTGTTTTTAAAATTTTAAAAAATGAACAAAACATCTGAGAAATATCAGATTATATGAAGAGACCAACCCTGTAACCCATTGACATTCCCGAGAGAAAATAAGAGAGAGTAAGCAACTTGGAAAACATACTAGAGTATATAGTCATGAAGATTTCCTCAATATAACTAGAGAGATTGGCATGCAAATTTAAGCAATTCAGAGGACTTCTATGAGTTACTATGCACAATGACCATCCCCATGATACACAGTCATCAGATGCTTCAAGTTCAACATGAAGAAAAATCCTTAAAGGCAGCTAGAGAAAGAGTCACATCACTTACAAAGGGACTCCAATCAGGTTAAAAATTACTTTTTAGCAGAAACCTTATAAACCAGAAAAGATTGGAAATCTATTTTCAGCGTCCTTAAAAAAAGAAATTCCAATCAAGAATTTCATATCCTGCCAAACTAAGCTTCATAAGCAAAGAAAAAATAAAATCATTTTCAGACAGGCAAACACTAAGGGAATTTGTTACCACTAGATAAGCCTTATAAGAGGTCCTTAAGGGAGTTCTAAAGATGAAAATGAATGAATGACACTACCACAAAAACAGTTAAGAACATAGCCCACAGACCCATAGACCTTATGAAGCAACTACACATTAAGTCTACAAAACAATCAGCTAACAACACAAGAACAGCATCAAAACCTCACATATAAATATTAACCTTGATTGTAAATGTTCTAAGTGTCCCACTTAAAAGGCACAGAGTGGCAAGTTGAATGAAAAAACAAGACCCAAACACCTGCTATTTTCAAGAGATCCAACTCACTTGTAATACACACATAGGCTCAAAGTGAAGGGATGAAAAAAGATCTATCATGCAAACAGAAAACAAAAAAGAGCAGAGATTGCTATTCTTATAGTATATAAAACAGACTTTAAACCAACAACAGTCAAAAAGGAGAAAGAAGGGTATTAAATAATGGAAAGGGTTCAATTCAACAAGAAGACTTAGCTATCCTAAATATGTATGCACCCAACAGTGAAGCAACCAGATTCATAAATCAAATCTTTCCAGACCTATGAAAAAACTTAAACAGCTGCACAATAATAGTGGGGGACTTTAACACCCCAGCGAAATAATTAGAAAGATTAACAAGGCAGAAATTCAACAAAGAAACTCTGGAGTCAAACACAACATGAATAATTGTATCTAATAGACATCTACAGAACATTCCACTAAACAATCGGAGAATATACATCTTCTCATCTGCACACAGAACATAATCTAAGACTGAACAAATCCTCAGAATTCAAATACCAATTCTTTGAAGCAAATCTCTATAAATTGAAAAAATAGTGAAATCATACCAACCTCACTCTCAGATCACAGTGGAATAGAAATAGAATAAATACCAAGAAGTTATCCCAAAACCACACAATTACATATAAATTAAATAAATAACATACTCCTGAATGACTTTTGGGTAAACAACAATATTAAAGTAAATATTTAAAAATATTTGGAATTAATGAAAATAGAGACACAACGTATCAAAATCTTTGGGATGTGGTGAAAGCAGTGTTAAGTGGAAAGTTTGTAGTACTAAACACCTACATCAAGTAGTTGAATAGATCTCAAATTAACAATGTAACATCACATTTAGAGGAATTAGAAATCAAGAACTAACTCTAAAGCTAGCAGAAGAAAAAAATAACTAAAATTAGAGCAGAACTGAATACAATTTAGATGAAAATATATCTATAGAAAGGATTAGGGAAACAAGCAAGAAAAAAGTTTCTTTAAAAGGATTAAAAAGGCTGATAGACCACTAGCTAGATTAACAAGGAAAAAATAAAGAAGATCCAAATAAGCACAATAAGAAATGACAAAGATGAATTACAACCTATTCCACAGAAAAACAAAAGATTCTCAGAGGCTATTGTGAAACCTCTATGTGCACAAACAGGAAAATATAAAGGATATGGATAAATTCCTAGAAACATACAACCTCCCAAAGTTGAACCAGGAAGAAATGGAAACTCTTAACAGATCAAGAACAAGTTTCAAAATCAAATCAGTAATTAAAAGTAAAAAAAAAAAAAGCCCTGGACCAGATAGATTCACGGCTGAATTCTTCCAGGCATGAAAAGAAGAGATGATACTAATCTGATTTAAACTATTCAAAAAAATTGAGAAGGGGCTCCTTCCTCACTCATTCTGTGAAGCCAACATCATTCTGATACCAAACCTTGGCAGAGACACAAAGAAAAAAGAAAACTACAGGCCAATATCCCTGATAAACATAGATGCAAATATCCTCAACACAACACTGGCAAACCAAACCCAGCAGCATATCAGAAATTTCATTCAACATGATCAAGTAGACTTTATTCCTGGGATGCATTGGTTCAACCTACAGAAATCAATAAATGTGATTCATCATATGAACAGAATTGAAAACAAAAACCATATAATCATCTCAATAGATGCAGAAAAAGCTCTTGATGAAATCCAACCTCCTTCATGATAAAAGCTCTTAACAAACTAGTTACTAAAGGACCATATCTCAAAATAATAAGAGTTATCTATGACAAATCCACAGCCAACATCATACTTGAATGAACAAAAGCTGGAAGCATTTCTTTTGAGGGCTACAACAAGACGTAAACAGCTACTCTCAGCACTGCTATTTAAAGTAGTACTGAAGTCCTAGCTACAGCAATCAGGCAAGAGAAAATATAAAAGGCATTCAAACAGGAAAACTATCTATATTCATGGACTCTATGATTTGATATCTAGAAAACTCTAAAGACTCTGCCAAAAGTCTCCTAGAACTCATAAATGACTTCAGTAAAGTCCCAGGATACAGAATCAAAGTACAAAAATCAGTAATATTTCCATACACCAAGAACGTTCAAACTAAGAGCCAGATGAAGAATGCAGTCTCACTTACAATAGCCACAAAAAGAATAAAATACCTAGGAATACATCTAACAAAAGAGACAAAAGATCTCTACAAAGAGAATTACAGAACATTGATGAAAGAAATCAGAGATGACACAAACAAATGGAAAAATATTCTATGCTCATGAATGGGAAGAATCAATTTTGTTAAAATGGCCATATTGCCCAAAGCAATTTACAAATTCAATGCTGTTCCTATTAAATTACCAATAACATTACTTACAGAATTCAAAAAATTCTAAAATTTATATCAAAGTAAAAAAGAACCCAAAAAGCCAAAGCACTCCTAAACAAAATAGAACAAAGCCAGAGGCACCATATTACCCAACGTCAAACTATGCTACAAGGCTACAGCTACCAAAACAATATGGGACCAGTACAAAATAGACACAGACAAATGGAACAATATAGAAAACCCAAAAATAAATATGCTCTCCTACAACCATCTGATCTTTGATAAAGTTGACAAAAATAAAAAATGGAAAATGTACTCCCTATTAAATTAATGGTACTGACATAATTAGGTTCCCACATGCAAAACAATGTAACTAAAACTCTGCCTATCACCATATACAAAAATTAACTCAAGGTGAGTTAAAGACTTAATGGAAGATCTTAAACTCTAAAAATCCTAGAAGAAAACCTAGGAAATATTATCTGTACATGAATATTTTTCTGTGGATTATAGTTTTTGTCAGATTCTCAACTTGAAAACCTGTAAATGTTTGAATGTGTTTGCTCTTGCTTCTCTAGTTGTTTTAATTGTGATGTTAGGGTGTCAATTTTAGATCTTTCCTGCTTTCTCTTGTGGGCATTTAGTGCTATAAATTTCCCTCTACACACTGCTTTGAATGTGTCCCAGAAATTCTGGTATGTTGTGTCTTTGTTCTCGTTGGTTTCAAAAAACATCTTTATTTCTGCCTTCATTTTGTTATGTGCCCAGTAGTCATTCAGGAGCAGGTTGTTCAGTTTCCATGTAGTTGAGTGGTTTTGAGTGAGTTTCTTAATCCTGAATTCTAGTTTGATTGCACTGTGGTCTGAGAGACACTTTGTTATAATTTCTGTTCTTTTACATTTGCTGTGGAGAGCTTTACTTCCAACTATATGGTCAATTTTGGAATAAGTGTGATGTGGTGCTGAGAAGAATGTATATTCTGTTGATTTGGGGTGGAGAGTTCTGTAGATGTCTATTAGGTCCACTTGGTGCAGAGCTGAGTTCAATTCCTGGATATCCTTGTTAACTTTCTGTCTCATTGATCTGTCTAATGTTGACAGTGGGGTGTTAAAGTCTCCCATTATTATTGTGTGGGAGTCTAAGTCTCTTTGTAGGTCTCTAAGGACTTGCTTTATGAATCTGGGTGCTCCTGGTCCACTGACAGTGTTGAGTTTCAGAGACCCCTGCACATTCTGGAGATAGCAGCGAATTGTTGTGCAGCCTACGAATATTGGGTGTATATATATTTAGGATAGTTAGCTCTTGTTGAATTGATCCCTTTACCATTATGTAATGGCCTTCTTTGTCTCTTTTGATCTTTGTTGGTTTAAAGTCTGTTTATCAGAAACTAGGATTGCAACCCCTGCCTTTTTTTGTTTTCCATTTGCTTGTTAGATCTTCCTCCATCCGTTTATTTTGAGCCTATGTGTGTCTCTGCATGTGAGATGGGTTTCCTGAATACAGCACACTGCTGGGTCTTGACTCTTTATCCAATTTGCCAGTCTGTGTCTTTTAATTGGAGCATTTAGTCCATTTATAATTAAGTTTAATATTGTTATGTGTGAATTTGATCCTGTCATTATGATGTTAGCTGGTTATTTTGCTCATTAGTTGATGCAGTTTCTTCCTAGCCTCAATGTTCTTTACAATTTGGCATGTTTTTGCAGTGGCTGGTACCGGTTGTTCCTTTCCATGTTTAGTTCTTCCTTCAGGAGCTCTTTTAGGGCAGGCCTGGTGGTGACAAAATCTCTCAACGTTTGCTTGTCTGTGAAGTGTTTTATTTCTCCTTCACTTATGAAGCTTAGTTTGGCTGGATATGAAATTCTGGGTTGAAAATTCTTTTCTTTAAGAATGTTGAATATTGGCCCCCACTCTCTTCTGGCTTGTAGAGTTTCTGCCAAGAGATCAGCTGTTAGTCTGATGGGCTTCCCTTTGTGGGTAACCCAACCTTTCTCTCTGGCTGCCATTAACATTTTTTCCTTCATTTCAACTTTGGTGAATCTGACAATTATGTGTTTTGGAGTTGCTCTTCTCGAGGCATATCTTTGTGGCGTTCTCTGTATTTCCTGAATTTGAATGTTGGCCTGCCTTGCTAGATTGGGGAAGTTCTCCTGGATAATATCCTGCAGAGTGTTTTCCAACTTGGTTCCATTCTCCCTGTCACTTTCAGATATACCAATCAGACGTAGATTTGGTCTTTTCACATAGTCTCATATTTTTTGGAGTCTTTGTTCATTTCTTTTTATTCTTTTTTCTCTAATTGAACGATGAGAACATATAGACACAGGAAGGGGAACATCACACACCTGGGCCTGTTGTGGGATTGGGGGAGGGGGAAGGGATAGCATTTGGGGATATACCTAATGTTAAATGACGAGTTACTGGGTGCAGCACACCAACATGGCACATGTATACATATGTAACTAACCTGCACGTTGTGCACATGTACCCTAAAACTTAAAGTATAATAAAAACAAAGAAAAAAAAAGAAAACCTGTAAATGTTTAAAAACTACTATTTCAGTGAAAAAATATATAAATTTGGAGCCCCGATACTTCTACCTACCTTGCATTAAGCAAAGAAGATAAAACCCTTGTGAGAATCTGTCAGTTCTGTAATTTCAATTATGCTTTTTTTCTGCAGTTATATTATTCCCTTTACCAAGGCATCAAAGTTACCTAGAATAATGATTTTATTTCCTAGCTTTCTTAATTGTGGTTATTTAAAAAAAGGGGAAGTGTTGTATTTAGCATAAAGGAAGTTTCATTAAAGCAAATCATATTGCTCTCTTACTTTCCTTTTCATTTTTCTCTTACTTACTGACTGGGATATGAATATTAGCTGGAGATTGAACAGGTCCCCTAAATCACAGATTGGAAGGTTCTTAATGAGAATCATAGAACAACGAACTATAAGAAATTGAATATCTGCAGCAAGACAGCAGAATAAGAGGTAACTCACTTATATCTCCCCATAACAACAAGAATTTTGCACCCATCCACAAACAAAAGTCTCTCTGTGGGAGCCTTGGAATTCAGGCTGGAGGTTGTGAAACCCTAGTGGAACCCAAGACCAAGGAGACTTGTTTTGAGAGTGCAAATACCCAGGTGGGAGATCTGCTGATTGTGCCATTGGATTCAAGCCTGGAAATGGCCCCATTCCCCAGAAGACATGGCTATAGCAGCAGTTGTCCTTGACTCTGCAACCAAAACTGTCTACCAAAGGGACCAGGAGGAGTTGCACTCATTAATGCCTCAGTGCAGAGGCTCCTTAGCCTGGTAGCATTGGTTTTAGCAACATACCTGAAAGTTGCCCTGTGTTACCTCCAGCTCCCTTCTGCTGAGGTTCCAGCTCAATATACCTGGAAAAAGGACTCAGAGGCAGACTTACCATATTTCCCAACCTGTGACTCTGAACCTCCTTGAAAGCCCTCCAGCTTCCAGCTGACATCAAATCCCAAGGAGTGCCAGCCTCAACCCTGGTCTCTCCTGCTGCAGTCACGGACCTATCCTGTCTGTGCAGAAACCTGAGAAACATATGTCCATTTCAGCCAATGAGACTAGCTCCCACAGCAGATACCAAAGGGGCCCAGACTCAGCTGTAGCCTTTTCTGTTTTAGTTAAAAGTTGGGGAAGTATTTCTTCTATGAAGAAAACTGATAGGAGACATGTGCCCCTCTGAGACAGTGAGACAGGCTATCCAGCTTCTGTCTTACAGTAGATTCCAAGGGGGCCTCATCTTAGCTCAGACCTCTCCCACAGCAGTTGGTGAACTATCCTGTCTATGCAGGAACCTGCTGGTAGATGCATATACCTCTGAGCCAAGAAGACAAGCTCTTCTGTGTCCATCCTACAGCAGATTCTGAGGGGCCTGGTTTTAGCTCCAGTCTCTTCCACTGCATTTGGGAAACTATCCCATCTGTGCTGGGACCTGCTAAGAGATACCCTGCTTTTTCAATGAGACACGTTCACCAGCCTTCATCCCACAAAAGATCCTTAGGGGGCTTGTCTCAGTTTCAGCCCTTCCTGCTGCCATTGAGTAACTATCCCAACTGTACAGGAACCTGCTGGGAGATGCACAGTCATCTTAGCCAATGAAATGAATTTTCCAGCTTTCATCCCACAGCAGATACAGAGTTGGGTGTCAGGGAAAGTGGGGGTGCTGTCTCAACCCCAGCTCATCTTGCTGCAGTCTAGAACCTATTCCACTTGTGCGGAAACCTGCACAGAAGCACATTTGTATGACACCAGGACAGTCTTCTGGGCTCAAATGTCTAGCCATCTTTCTCAAACAGCCCCAGAACTCTCTCTGGGTCTTCCCGAGGTATATCCCATCCTGAAAGTTTTATCAGCTGTTGAGACTTATGTGATTTGTGGCAAGCTTTATTTTAGAGCTCCCTCTTGTGCTTAGATGACTGCAGTGGTTGTAGGCTTAGGGAACACAACAGTTAATCTGCTTAGAATCTCTGAAAGGCTCTCTGAAGAGCAGGCACAAATAAAGCTAGTCTTTGAAAATGGGAATATATACCTTATCCCTCAAGGCATAGGAATTGTCACTTGTCCAAAAGTATTAAGAAAATTCAGAGAAATACTACCTCACCAAGCACAAAATGAGACACTAGACACCAACCCTAACATGATGGAGGTATTTTATCTCTCAGACAAATAGTTTAAAATAGCTATTTTCAAGAAGCTCAATGAATTTTAAAAAATGCAAAGAATCAATTGAAAAGTTTACAAGAGAAGTTTAACAGAGAGAAAACAGAAATCTTGGAGGTGAAAACTGTAATGAATAAAAGGAAAGATGCGATAGAAACGTTCAGCTACATAATTAACCAAACAGAAGAAAAAAATCAGTGAGCTCAAAGATGGGCTATTTGAAATTATACAATCAAAAAAGAATAAAGTAAAAACAATGAAAAGTAATTAAGAAAGCATATGAGATTTATGTGACAACATCAAAAAAGAAATTATTTAATTTATAGGAGTTAAAGTGGAAATTAAGAAAGATGAAGAGATTGAAAGATTATTTGAAGAAATAAAAACAGAATCATTTTCCAAACCTACTGGAAGATATAAATATTCACTATAGGAAGGTGAACAGTCCACAGTCAGATTCAACTCAAATAAGAATATCCCAAGAATATTATGAATAAACTCTCAAAGGTCAAAGACAAAGAGAAGATGCTGAAAGCAGCAAGAGAAAAGAAACAACATATAAGGGAGATTCAATATGTCTGGCAGCAAAGTTATCAGCAGAAACCTTACCAGCCAGGAGTGAGTAGGATGATATATTCAGAGTGCTGAAAAAAAAAAAAGAAACAAAACAAAAGCCTGCCAACCAAGAATACTCTACAGAACAAAGCTATCTTTCAGAAATGAAAGAGAAATGAAGACTTTCCCAAACAAAAGCTGAGGGAATTCATTGCTAGAAGAACATCCTACAAGGAAATGCTAATGAGAGTTCTTCCAGTTGAAAGAAAAAGACACTAACATGTTGTTATTTTAGTATAGTGGTCATGGTATTAAACTACAAATATTTTTAGTATAAACACTAAAAGACAAATTATTAATAACAACAACTATAATACTTGTTCAGAGATAATGTATTAGTCTGTTTTCCTGCTGCTGATAAAGACATACCTGAGACTGGGAAGAAAGAGAGGTTTAATTGGACTTACAGTTCCACATGGCTGGGGAGGCCTCAGAATTATGGTGAGAGGCAAAATGCACTTCTTACATGGTGTGGCAAAAGAAAATGAAGAAGTAAAAATGGAAACCCCTGATAAACCCATCAGATCTCATGAGACTTATTCATTATCACAAGAATAGCACAGGAAAAGCTGACCTCCATGATTCAATTACCTCCCCCTGCATCCCTCTCACAACACAGGAGCATTCTGGGAGATAAAATTCAAGTTGACATGTGCCTGGGGATAGAGCCAAACCATATCATTCCACACCTGGCCCCTCCACATCTCATGTTCTCAAATTTCAAAACCAATCACACCACCCCAACAGTTCCCCACAGTCTTAACTCATTTCAGCATTAACCCAAAAGTCCGCAGTCCAAAGTTTCATCTGAGACAAGGCAAGTCCTTTCTGCCTATAAGCCTGTAAAATCAAAAGCAAGCTAGTTACTTCCTAGATATAACGGGGTTATAGACATTGGGTAAATACAACCATTCCAAATGGGAGAAATTGGGCAAAACTAAGGGGTTACAGAGCTCATGCAAGTCTGAAATCCAGTGGTGCAGTCAAATTTTAAAGCTCCAAAATGTCCAAAATGGTCTCCTTTAACTCCGTGTCTCACATCCAGGTCATGCTGATGCAAGAAGTGGGTTCCCATGGTCTTGAGCAGCTCTATCCCTGTGGCTTTGCAGGGTACAGCCTCCCTTTCAGCTGCTTTCAAGGGCTGGCATTGAGTATCTGCAGCTTTTTCAGGTGCATAGTGCAAGCTGTCAGTGGATCTACCATTTTGGGTTCTGGAGGATGGTGGCCCCTTATCACAGCATAGCTCCACTAGGCAGTTCCCCAGTAGGGACTCTGGGTGGGGGCTCCAACATCATATTTTCCTTCCACACTGCCCTAGCAGAAGTTCTCCATGAGGGCCCTGCCCCTTCAGCAAACTGCCTGGGCATCTAGGCATTTCCATACATCTTCTGAAATCTAGGTGGAGGTTGCCCAACCTAAATTCTTGACTTCTGCGCACCTGCAGGCTCAACACCATGTGGAAACTGCCAAGGCTTGGGACTTCCACCCTCTGAAGCCAAATCTCAAGCTCTACGTTGGCCTCTTTCAGCCATGGCTGGAGCAGCTGGGACACGGGGTACCAAGTCCCTAGGCTGCACACAGCACAGAGTCCCTGGGCCTGGCCCAGGAAACCACTTTTTCCTCCTGGGCTTCCAGGCCTGTGATGGGAGAGGCTGCCATGAAGGTCTCTGACATGGCCTGGAGAAACTTTCCCCATGGTCTTGGGGATTAAATATTGGGCCCCTTGCTACTTAGCAAATTTCTCCAGCTGGCTTGAATTTCTCCTCAAAAAAAAATTTTTTTTTCTACTGCATCATCAGGCTGCAAATTTTCTGAACTTTTGTGCTCTGTTTCCCTTTTAAAATGTAATGATTTTAACAGCACTCAAGTCACCTTTTGAATGCTTTGCTGCGTAGACATTTCTTTGCCAGATACCCTAAATTACCTCTGTCAACTTCAAAGTTCCTCAAATATCTAGGGCAGGAGCAAAATGCTACCAGTCTTTTTGCTAAACCATAACAAGAGTCACCTTTGCTCCAGTTTCCAACAAATTTCTCATCTCCATCTGAGACCACTTCAGCCTGGACCTCATTGTTCATGTCACTATCAGCATTTTTGTCAAAGCCATTCAACAACTCTCTATGAAGTTTCATAATTTCCCACATTTTTCTCTCTTCTTCTGAGCCCTCCAAACTGTTCCAATCTCTGCCTGTTACCCAGTTCCAAAGTCGCTTCCACATTTTTGAGTATCTTTCAGCAACACCCACTCTCAGTATCAATTTACTGTATTAGTCTGTTTTCACACCGCTGATAAAGACATACCTGAGACTGGGAAGAAAAACAGTTTTAATAGGAATTTCATTTCCACATGGCTGGGAAGACCTCAGAATCCTGGCAGGTGTTGAAAGGCACTTCTTACATGGCAGCGGCAAAAGAAAATGAGGAAGAAACAAAAGCGGAAACTCCAGATAAACCCGTCAGATTTCATGAGTCTTATTCACTATCACAAGAATAGCATGGGAAAAACTGGCCCCATGATTCAATTACCTCCCCCTGGGTCCCTCTCACAGCACATGGGAATTCTGAGAGAGAAAAGTCCAGTTGAGATTTGGGTGGGGACACAGCCAAACCATATCAGATAGACAATGTAAAAAATGTAAAGTGTGATATTAAAGGCCTCATATTAACTACAAAGCAAAAACCTATAAATGATACACTAAAAAGAAAAAGAAAAAAAAACATACTACTAGAGAAAATCACATAACTACAAAGGAAGACTGAAAGAGAAAATGAAAGGAGAAAAGCATTTCTAAAACTAGACAACAAATAAGAAAATGGCAGTAGTTAAGCCCTTGCCTGTAAATAATTACCTTGAATATAAATTGATTAAGTCATACAATTAAAAGACATAGCGTGGCTTAAAGAATTAAAAAAACACAACAGCACGACTCCACTAAATCCTAGCTACAATAGATTCATTTTAATGTAAGGATACACATAGACTGATAGAGAAGAGATGGGAAAAGATATTCCATGCAAATGGAAACCAAAAAAGAGCAGGAGTAGCTATACTTATATCAGATAGAATAAATGTTGAGCCAAAAACTGTAAAAAGAACAAATTAGGCCATTATATAGTGATTAAAAAGGTAAATACAGCCCGATGATATAACAATTGTAAATATCTATGCACTCAACATAGGAACAACTAAACTTATAAAGCAAATATATATATATAATATAAAGAAAGATTGAATGCAATATAATAATAGTAGATTTTGACAATTCACTGTCAGCAATGAACAGATCATTGAGACAGAAAATCAACAGAGAAACATCAGTTAAACCACATCGTAGACTAAATGCAACTAACAGACATTTTCAGAACATTTCATGAAACAGCTGTAGAATACACATTGTTCTCAACAATATGTGGGACATTCTGCATGACAGATCATATATTAAGCCACAAAATAAGTCTTAACAAATTTAAAAAGTCAAAATCATATTAAGTATCTTTTCTGACCATAATGGAATAAAAACTAAAAATCAATAACAGAAGGAATATTGGAAACTGCACAAATACATAGAAATTAAACAAGTTTTTGAACAACAAATAGGTCAATAAATACATTTTTACAAAATTATGAGAAAATAGAAATAAAACTACAAAATATACAAAGGTATGGGACACAGCAAAAGTAGGTTTACAAGAACAATTTATAGTAATAAACACCTACATGAAAAAAGCAGAAATATCTCAAATAGACAACCTAGCACAAGCAACTAGAAAAATGAGAATGATTTCAACCCAAAGTTAGTAGAAAAGAAATAATAAAGATTGCAGCAGAAATAAATCAAATAGAAACTAAAAAAAAATCAATGAAACAAATATTTTTTCAAAAGATGAACAAAATTGACAAACCTTTAGCTAGAGTAACTAAGCCAAAGAGAGATGACAAATAGATTAAATCAGAGATTAAAAAGAAGACATTATAACTGGTGCTACAGGCATAGAAACCATCATTAAAGATTATTATGAACAACTACATACACTCAAATTGGAAAACCTAGAAGAAATTGATAAATTTCTGGACACAAACAACTTAGCAAGATTGAAATATAAAGAAATAAAAACCTGTGCAGACTATTAATGAATAATGAAATTAAATTAGTAATAAAACTCTCTCTTCAAAGAAAAGCCTAGAACCAGATGGATTCACCATGGAAATCTATCAAATATTTAAATAATTAATACAAGGTCTTCTCAAACTATTCTAAAATATTCAAATGGAGAGAATTCGCCTAACTCATTCTGTAAGGCCAGTATTACCCTGCTACCAAAACCTTACAAAAACTCAACCATAATCTTAAACCATAAGACACAACACCCGTGATAAAAATAGAAGTAAAAATCCTCAACAAAATACTACCAAGCTGAATTCAATAGTGAATCAGATGATAATTTCCTCATTCACGATGATCAAGTGGGATTCATCACAGTGATGCAAGGATGGTTCAATATATGCAAATCAATAAACATGATGCATCACATTAACAAAATGCAGGACAAAAATCTTATGATCATCTCAATAGACACAGAAAAAACAATTCAATAAAATTTATCATCACTTTGTGATCAAAACCCTAGACAAATTAGGTATAAAAGGAACTTACAGGCCAGGCACGGTGGCTCATTCCTATAATCCCAGCACTTCGAGAGCTGAGGTGGGTGGATAATGAGGTCAGAAGTTCGAAACCAGCTTGAACAACATAGTGAAACCTCATCTCTACTAAAAATACAAAAATTAGCTGGGCATGGTGGTATGTGCCTGTAATCCCAACTACTCAAGAGGACGAGGCAGGAGAATCACTTGAACCTTGGAGGCAAAGTTTGCAGTGAGCTGAGATTGTGCCCATGCACTCCAGCCTGGTGACAGAGCAAGACTCCATCTCAAAAAAAAAAAGGAACTTACTCAATACAATAAAAGACACATATGACAAACCTATAGCTAACATTATACTGAGCAATAAAAGATTCTGTTTTGAAATCATTGAAGTGTTGTTTTTCTTGTAAAATGATTATATCACCAATGGATCATCAATTATCCATATGCTTAGGAATGGTTTTTGAGTGGTGGGTATAGGATTTGGCTGATCCAGCAGGATTTAGTTATCTAGTCTTAAAGTAGTATGACATACACCTACCTAAGGGGCAGAAATGTATTACAACTTTATTTTGCAACCTTAGAACAGATTATAACAGATGGGTCAACACCAGATGAAACCTATCATCTATGCAGTACTGCTGGTGCCTGGTGCCTGGTGCCCATTTTACCAGCCTCAGCCTCTCATGTTCCAGCTGCATCCCTTCTTCAACCCCACCTTCAGCCTCAGCAAAAATAGGCCTTTTACCACAGACTTCATTAACAGAATTAACTTAATTGGTCAAACTGGTATAGCTTTTTCAAAGGCTCAAGCATAAAAACACAATCCTATCAAGCAGAATATTCCGAGGTTTCAGAGGGTATCTTCTAGGAGCCAGACAAAGGCTAGTCCTGGTTTTGAATGTTCAAGGTTTAAGCAACCTCAGCCTGCCAAGTTAACCCTTTCCTGTTCATCTTTGAATATACTAATATACCTGAATTTTCATAATTGGTTCTTTCTTTCCTATGACCCAGAAAAATAGTGCACCTTTTGTTATAATCTAATTCTCCAACTGTATCTTCGCTTGCTTTCATCTCATCACAGACTTTATTTATTCGTGATATCTATTTCTTTGCTATTCCTCCAAATCTAAATTTTGAAAAAAAATACCAATCATAACAAAATGGTGTATATTTTATTTAGCTTGCTTTATATCCATCTTCTTTTATGGTCAATTGCTTGAAATGTAATTTTACATTGAGTTTTTATTTTGTAAAATTTCTCATTCATTTCCTGCTCACTATTGCTCAACTATATTCTGTATTCTGTAGAAATCACCAGTGACTCTCGTTGTTTCTTAATCCAAGAAAAAAACAATTTCAGGATTTTTTTTAGGTGGGTAGATTTGAAAGTGTTATCTACTTTCTGTTTCAAAGTATTTCCTTGGACTGTGTGATACTAATTACAATAATGATATTTATTCATGCATTTAGAAAAGCTAATTTAACTTTTGTGTATTAACACTATGTGTCAAGTGCTATTCTAGGAACTAAGTACACAATGCCCAACAGACAAGATCTCTATGCTCACGTAGCTCATAACAACCACCATCACCACATTTGTATAGCACAAATTATTTTATTCCCTTTAATTCCTACCATGCCCCATTCTCCATTTGTAAAGGAAAGAAATACTTTAGTTAAAAGAAGTTAATTAACTTCACTAAGGCCTTAACAATTAAGTCTTAGGACTTGAATCATGAGCTATAAAATACCAAAGCCCATGCTCTTAATTGTCTGTAACCAAAGACCTTAGCATAATCACTGAAAGAATTTCTTAATCATAGCCACTATTATATCTCAGAGCCTATAGGAGAGATGAATGTAATATACACATTATTTAAATTATCTTTAAAAAATCCATTTAAAAATCTGTAAAATTAAGTTTACAAATTTATCAAAAACCACTTTAAAAATACAAAACCAAGTAGAACCCAGGGCAGAGTGCAGTGGCACGATCTCGGATCACTGCAAGCTCTGCCTCCCGGGTTCACGCCATTCTCCTGCCTCAGCCTCCCGAGTAGCTGGGACTACAGGTGCCCACCTCCACGCCCGTCTAATTTTTTGTATTTTTAGTAGAGACGGGGTTTCACCGTGTTAGCCAGGATGGTCTTGATCTCCTGACCTCATGATCTGCCTGCCTCGGCCTCCCAAAGTACTGGGATTACAGGCATGAGCCACCATGCCCCGCCAAATTTTGTGACCAATAATATTTCCCCAGGATATTTTTAAACGCTCCTCAGATTCCAGTTTGCTATACTACAAATAAAAACCAATTGCAATGATTATTTTCCCCTTTTTAAAGTGGGATTTAAACTATTTATAGGTACATAATAGATAACCTTTCATGTTGCAGAAATCCACAGCTAATTCATAAAAGTAGCCACTTTTTCTTTTCTTTTCTTTTTTTTTTTTTTTTTTTTTTTGAGACGGAGTCTTGCACTCTCGCCCAGGCTGGAGTGCAGTGGCATGATCTCGGCTCACTGCAAGCTTCGCCTCCTGGGTTCACGACATTCTCCTGCCTCAACCTCCTGAGTAGCTGGGACTGCAGGCGCCCGCCACCACGCCTGGCTAATTTTTTGTATTTTTAGTAGAGACGGTGTTTCACCATGTTAGCAGGATGGTCTTGATCTCCTGACCTCGTCATCCGCCCACCTAGGCCTCCCAAAGTGCTGGGATTACAGGCGTGAGCCACCGCGCCCGGACAAGGTAGCCACTTTTTCTAAGATGGATGTGCTATTTCTCTTTGTTTTCAGTGAAGCAATACAGGCATTCATGTCTGGACAAAAGGAATAAGTGGACTACATGCAGAGTGAGTATCCCTTATCCAAAATGCTTGAGATTCAAAGTGTGTTTCAGATTTCAGATTTTTTCAAATTTTGGAATAGTTGCATTATCCCAGTTGAGCATCCCAAATCTGAAAATGTGAAATCTGAAATTTCCTTTGAGCGTCATGTTAGGATTCAAAAAGTTTCAGATTTGGGAGCGTTTTGTATTTCAGATTTTCAAATTTGGGATGCTAAACTTGTATTAATAAATGAAATTTCAGTTGTGCAATATCGGACCCCTTCCGTTATAGGTGCACACCCACTGTAACTTTATAAATAACTTTAAGTATATTTTAAAAAGCCAAAGATTTAAAACAACTTGGGATCAGGGTTAACCGGCTTGAATTACATTTCTCCTTTAAGTTTCATTTTAGAGAATGTTGGCAATATTTTGTAGCTACTGGGTAACATCCTACATTCATTGTGTTCATTTAAAATATGTATAATTTAATATTATGACAGTTAATTTACAAGTTGTGAAAAACTTTCAGTTTACTTTCCACCTGTTCTCAAAAGAGTGATTTAAGAAGTTTTTAAAGGACTGCCACAGGGGAAATTGCAAACATACATAAGGCAATATAGCATAACAGTCTTTGGAATCAGTCATTGTTTCAAATCCTACCTCTGCAATATACTAGCTGTGTTATGAACAAGTTATTGTATTTAATGTCTGTATGTATCATTTCTTTCCATATAAAATATGGGTAATAAAAGCTAGTTCATTATGATAGTCAATACTCGAAGCAATGTGCATAAAGTAGAAATATCTTGTAACAAATTCTTAAAAAAGTATTATTATTAGCACTATTTTTATTATTTTAGTACCATTATTATTAATGTTACAGTTTGCACTTATGCTTTAATGAATGACCTTGGTATTTTACTCTGGCTGATTTAATTCATTTAATACAAAAGCATAATTAGATAATATTCATCAATCAGTTGTAAAATTCACACTAAAATATATGAAGGAAAGCTATCCACTGATTAATTTATATGAATGTTTTTAAAATACAGTTTCATTATTCCAGGGCAGAGTGAGGCTGGAAAATACATCCTGCCATGGGTATACAACCCAAGCTATCTATGTAGATTTTTTTTGTTTTTTTGAGACGGAGTCTCGCTCTGTTGCCAGGCTGGAGTGCAGTGGCGGGGTCTCGGCTCACTGCAACCTCCACCTCCTGGGTTCAAGCGATTCTCCTGCCTCAGCCTCCCAAGTAGCTGGGATTACAGGCATGTGCCACCATGCCTGGCTAATTTTTGTATTTTCAGTAGAGAGGGGGTTTCACCATGGTAGCCAGGCTGGTCTTGCACTCCTGACCTCGTGATCCACCCGCCTCGGCCTCCCAAAGTGCTGGGATTGCAGGCATGAGCCACCACACCTGGCCTATGTAGATTTTTTTGTTGCCTTTTGATTTTTTTTTTTTTTGCTTATTCTGATTCTAATTGTACAAATCAATAATAAAAATGTTAAAAACAGACTTAAAATATTCATGACTATGCAAATGATTCAAATATAGTTATTTAAAGTTTCTTTCTTTTTTAAATTGGGACATGGTCTTGCTCTTCAACCCAAGGCTGGGTGGCATAGGTGAAAGAGCAAGACCAAGGCATGACCAAGGCTCACTGCAGCCTTGACCTCCTGATCTCGTTATCCTCCCACTTCAGCCTCCCAAGTAGCTGGGTATAGGCATGCACCACAGTCCCCAGCTAATATTTTAATTTTTTGTGTGTGGAGACATGGTCTTGCCCTGTTGCCCAGGCTGGTCTTGAATTCCTGAGTTCAAGTGATCCTTGCTTCTCAGGCTCCCTAAGTGCTAAGATTACGGGTGTGGGTCCCCAGCCAAAACAATCTTCCTAGGGAAGCCCTCACATTTTCAAGGGTTTTACCTTTAGTACCTCCATAAATTCGTATCAAGCAACAAAATGTACTGTCAAGGAACAAAAAATATAAAGGGACCTTAAATGCATATTTCTAAGACCAAGAAGTCAGTCTGAAATGGCTACATACTATATAATCCTATATGACTCCTATATGAAAGATATGACATTCTGGAAAAGGCAGAACAATAGAGTAAAAAGATCAATGGTTGCTTGGGTTTGGTATGCATGTGTGTTAGAGGGCAGGGTGGCTGGTGAGAGGAATACATAGGTGAAGCACAAGTGATTTTTATGGCACTGCAACTGTTCTGCATGATACCATAATAATAATAAATGACATTTTTCATTTGTCAAAACACATAGAATGTACAAGAGAAAGAGTAGAACTTAATGTAAATTATGAACTGTAGTTACTATTGATATGTAAATATTGGTGTTCTAATTGTATCAAATGCACCACACCAGTGAAAGACATTAGTAATAGGAGAAATGTGTACGAGTTTGGGAGGTTATATGGCAATTTCTGTACTATCTGCTCTTGTTTTTATTGTAATTTTAAAATTGTGCTAAAATAAAGTTTATTAGTTTAATTTTCAAGAGATTAAGAATGTATGTTTAAATGTAATAATATATATGCAGAGCTTTATGTCTATCCATATACTTCAAGCCAAATCTACTTTTGGTGAGTTCGTCTGTTTATAAAACACACAGAAATAGGAAGAAAAATAATTGACAAATATTTACTATGAAATAACTTTATAAGCAGTAAATTGAAAGCACATACATATATTTTAAAAAGGCATTTATATACTTAAGCAAATTATTTTCCAAATATAGAATATTAGCCAGCCAACAAATAATGTTTAAGAAAGTTTGTAATTTTCTGAGACAATACGGATGATAAAATATTAAGTAAAGAACAACTTTGTTGTAATGTGATATATAACATGACATAAATAAAAAGAAAAAATCTAGATTAATGTGTAGTCAATAAGAATTGCCATGAAACATTGTCAAACTGATATTTGAAATTTATTGTTTTAAAGCCCCTTATAACTAATATTCTGTTTTTCCATATAATCCTATTAATGTATAAATAAAATCTTCTATTTACCAATTGGATATTAAATCAAAATAATGTAAATTAACATCTACAAATCATAACTTTTCTTAATGTTTATTCTTTGAGAATACATAGTAGTTGCACATATTTAAGGCATACATGTGATATTTTGATATGTGTGTATCACGTGTAATGATCAAATCAGAGTAATTGGGATATCCATCACCTGAAACATTTATCATAGCTTTAAAGGGCCAAAGCCAGGATTTAACTCTCTTAGATTCCAAAGTCCACGTTCTTAGAAATATTAATTAAAATAATGACAATGTTTGCCTCTGGGTTATGCTATTATGAGAAATTTAATATTTTTAAAGCAGAAATTGAAATTTTTGTAATAGGAAGATATTTAATAAATATGGAAATGTATAACTGATTTTTTCTCCTATGTCATTATTGTTGAAAGAAAATCTTCATATCTTACGTAAATATATTCTAGATCATCTGACAGATTTTATAATTTCTCATTATAAATTAAGATTTTTTTTTATTATCTTCGGTGGTGAAAAATACGCTCGCCAAACTGACAGGAAAATGTAATGTAATGCTAATTGCTTAATTGATTATTACTAGGAGTCCACAATTTTCAGTGCTTTTCTTTCTATTTCTGTGTATTTTATAAAGAGACAAATTCACCAAAAATCAGTTTGGCTTGAAGTATATGGACACACATAAAGCTCTGCACATGTATTATTACATTTAAACATACATTCTTAATCTGTTGGAAATTAAACTAATAAACTTTATTTGAGCACAATTTTAAATATGAAACTTTGACTTCTTTTTTATTTCATTACCTTTTGTTCATCAGCCTTCATTTTAATCAGATATACACCTATCTATATCAAACATTGTGTTGTAAATTTCATGTCTACTTCAACGTTTCCATATACGGGTGCATAATAACAAGTGCTGATAAGAATGCAAAGAAATTGATGGTGGAAATTTGAAATGGTACAGCTACTGTGGAAAATGGTTTGGCAGCTCTTTAAAGTTAAAGGTATCATATAATCCAGTGATTCACATGTAAGTATATATTCAGATAATTGAAAACATATGTCCTCAGAAAGCATGTTCATTGCAGCATTATTTATAATAGCGTAAATGTGAAAATAACCAAAATATTTATTATCTGATGAGTAGACAAGTAGAATATTGTATATTCATAATATTTTTAGACATAAAAAGCAGTAAAATGCTGAATATGCTAAACATGAAAAAAAGACACAAAGGCCACATATAGTTTGATTCAATTTATAGGAGATCTTCAGAGTAGGTAAATTCACACAGGCAGAAAGTAGATTAGTGGTCGCCAGGGGATGAGGAAAGGGGGAAATTAAAAATTGTGCTTATCAGTACAGAATTTCTTATGAAATTATGAAAACATTCTTGAATTTTTGTATTCTGGTGATGATTTGTACAATCTTGTGAATATACAGTATACTAATATATACTGTATATGTTAAAACAGCGAATGTGACAACGTTATTTATATACCAATGAAATGTTTTAAAATTCCACATCAAACTAGTTTTGAGGTGTAGACTATCGTGAACTTTACAAGAATATTGAATTAAAACTTCCTGTTATCTTCTTTGCTAACACAAATCTGATTGTTTATTGCAAGAAACAGATGCCATTATAAATATTATAAACAAAAATAAATTTAAAAACATACAAAGAATTATTTAAAAATCAATGGAATAATTATGAAACCAAATTAAACTCTAGGTTTTTCATATGACTCCCAGAACAAACAGAGTCTAAAACTTAGGGACACTGCTAATTCCGTAGCCACTGCTGGATCTCTTCTGACATATAAATATGTTATTACCATTTCTGGCCACCAAGAAACACAAGAGCACATTACCACAACCTTTGTAACCAATGATAATAGCCAAAATACAGGGAGATTGCCTTTACCTGATTTTTTTTCTAAATCTCAAAAGAGTTGATCCATGTAAAAAAATATCTAGAGTATTATTTGCAAGGGAATCTGGGAAATTTAGTTTCTAATTTTCTGAATTCCTAACTAGATGGGAATTTAGACAGACAATTGAAATATTTAGCTATTAAAAGTATTTTAAATCTTTAAAATTAAAAAGTGAAAATAATTATTGAGATAGGAAAACTTCCCATCATAATATTATATAATAACTAAAGTTGAAATGTATCTTTTTATAAAGTCATGCTTGATAGGACAAGATGAAAAGTCGAACCTAATATAAATTACCAAGTTTCAGAAAATTCTTCTTCCCAATTGATTCTAAAATTTCAACTGTGAAAGTTCTTTGATCCTTTCAGTCACTTTATTCTGTGAATCTGTAATAATATAATTTTTATTAAGATTATTGTAAAAGCCTCCAGATTTATCTACCTGCTTCTGTTTTGTCTCTGCAATCAGTCCTGCAGATTTAATCATTTCCTTCAACTCTCCAAAAATACACAGTGGAAAAAGCCCAAAATACTATTATACACAGCACAAATTTTGCTTTATTTGATATAAAACCAATTCTGGTGCATCAAATCCTATTGGCTCTTCTTTATTTCTCTGCAAAACTTATGTAGACAGTGCCTAGAATTCTTCCCCAATCACAGGATGAATTTTTCCACTTCTGAAAGTTTCTTCTGCCTGAAATTTACACCTTCACTTCAGAAATGTTAATCTACATATTTTTTCTGATCAACGTAAATATGTGCTTAATTATGAATCCTTCTGTAAGGCTTCTGGAGAGTACATGCTCTCATTTTCTAATTATATGGGACTATTTTAATACAACATTTCTGAAAAGTATTTAAAGCAATGAAAATATTGTACTTATATTTTTATTTCCACCTACCAATATTTTACCTGACACACAAGAGATAATCCATAAATTGTTTTAATATAAGTATGTAAACATAAGAACCAATACATTTATATGTAATTGGTCATCATTTCATGGGTCTATAAATCAACTTATTTCTTAACATTAGAATATAACTCAGTGTCATGGTTTCCATTTGTAAATTTAGGTAAAGTTCAAGTTTCAAATTTTTTGTTTACATTAAGAGCACAGATTATCAGTCCTGCTTTATTTGAATTGGATTCCAACCTAATAAAATAACAATACTACAATCATGGAGTTTCAATTGGAGCTAGGCATATTGGTAGACATGTTAATAAAATAAATTTATCATTGTGAGGTGAAATTACATTCAGAATTATATTATTTAAAATCAATATGTGATGACTGTGAAATGGAAAGAAATTAGTTGACACTGAAGAACATTTTCTCTCATGTGATTTCTCTGACCTACTACTAGAAATAAAAGGTAAAGAAGTACTTCTTATTTAAAGGAGATTTTCTCTACTAAATCTTAAAAGCACACACACACAGACACATATGCACAGGAACTCACTTGGTGGTACTTACTACTTATTTTTAACTTTAGAAATGAGTTTTTATGCCATACATGCCCTTGGTGACTTTATATCATCTTAATTGAGGCCATAAAAAAGAAAGTGACTATAGCAGAGTCCTATAAATTAATACCAGTAGGACCTACAGAAGCACTCACTTCAAACATTAAATTAGCAGACTCGGACATCTGTTAAATTTCTAGTTACTATTATTACTAACAACAATTTGAAAATAAAATATTTATATGCAACTAAAGGCTTTATCTAAGAAGTCCCATAATAGGCGCACTAAGTTCTAAAAAATATAATTATATACATAGTAAAAAATTACTGCAACTAACAACTTATATTACAGGTGGTCAGCTATACTAGTAAGTGGAGTACTCAGAAATAAAGCCCCAATTAAGCAATTTAATCTTGATCCTTAAAAAAATGACCATCTCTTATTGAATATGTTTTGAATGTTTTCCAAATAAGAGCTTTGAAATAGAAAAATAAATAAGCCACATGCCTGTGATATGGTTTGGGTGTGTCCCCACCCAAATCTCATCTTGAATTATAGCTCCCATAATCCCCACTTGTTGTAGGAAGGACCTGGTGGGAGATAATTGAATCATGGGGCAGTTACCCCCATGCTATTCTGGTGATAGTGAATGAGTTCTCATGAGATCTCTGATGGTTTTATAAGGGGCTTTTCCTGCTTGGCTGGGCACTTCTCTCTCCTGCCACCATGTGAAGAAGGCCATGTTTGCTTCCCCTTCCACCATGATTGTAAGTTTCCAGAGGCCTCCCCAGCCATGCAAAACTGTGGGTCAATAAAACCTCTTTCCTTTATAAATTACCCAGTCTTAGGGAGTTCTTTATAGTAGTGTGAGAACAGACTAATAGAGCATGAAATAAGTGTGATAAATTTTTAATAGCAAAAATAAAAATATCAAAATATCCATCAATTAGAAAATATCTAAGAAAATTCTACCCACTGGATTATTACACATACACTTTTTAAGTATACTTTTTATAATATATAAAATTATGTATTTTTCTAATATAAAATGAACACATTTCAACTATTTTATTTTACAATTAATAAAGGAAACACAGGTGTTAAAAAAACTCATTCAAAAGAAAATTCAGGGAATAGATACATATAAAGGCAATCACAAATGCTCAAATGAATTTGTTAATACTTACAAAATTGGCTTCTACCATGATGGTTGGGGTAGAGTTAAATCAGTTGTACCTATATCAGAAACAACAACAACAACAATAAAAAAATTTGCATCTCTAGTGTTGTACAGGCTTACTAATAGAAAGCAATTTCTAGGCTGCATCAGAGAGATGAAAACCTGGAAAAATCCAATGAACTCTCTAAGTTAAGGTAACAAAGCTGAGAATGCAGTGAAGCCATGTCAGTTAGAAAGTTTCTCAGAAAGAAAATTTCACAGAGACTTGCAAGTATTTCTTCTGAGGTTTCAGCCAAGTGTGAATTACTGGATTTTAAGAAAACTACATGAGGCTGGGAAAAAAAAGTAACCAGTATGAACAAAGAGAACAATACCTGGAGCTCAAATAGAGCTGAGAAAATTTTACTCACCAGTAAGAGTGAAACACACTGTTTCTCATAGGGCTTTAGGGAGACTAATTCAAATGGTTTTGCCTCAGTAATGAGAGAAAAAGCAAACCAAAGACTACTGGTGTCATCCCAGAAATGTTAAAAACAAACTAAAAAATGATTTCCAAGCAACTTAATTGTATTGCAAAATATAGGTAAAGAATATAAAAATAAAATACATCCAGGTTTCAACAAGATAAAATTCATAAAATGCATCCAATAAAAAGTCAGAATGCAAAGATGCAAGAAAATATGACCCATATGAGGAAAAAACCCTGTTAATATTAAGAAACTTTGATCGTAGAGTAACGATAGAGCTAGTAGACAAAAAGAGTAAAATATTTATAATATATTCTATACATTCACAAAGGTTGAGAAAGGATTGTATACTAAATGGAGATATGGTAGAAAGAAAAAGGTCCAAATCAAACTTCCACAGATGCAAACTACAATGTCTAAGATTTGACATTTCAGGTAAATAGAAGATTAGGCATTGCAAATGAAAAGGTCAATTAATTTGAAGACATACAAATAAAAACTATCCACATTTAAAAATAAACAAATGACAAACTAGTATTAGTGAGTCATAGGAAAATTTCTGATTGCCTATATCGGTGCTATTGGAGTTCCCAAAGAAGAGAGAAGGAAATAGAAATAGTATTTAAATAAATAATAGTATTTTTTCTAATTTGATTAAAACCAAAAAACTGGACTTTACAAAGTTCAAAATATGTGACCATAATAAACAAATAAATGTTTCAATTTGTATTTGAAATACGTTTTATATTTTGATGACAATACTACCTTAGACTTAAAAAGGCTAAAACATTTCAAAAGTAGCAGCCCCTCACCTCTAGAAATGTTAAAGGAAGTCTTTCAGGAAGAAGAATAAAGTTACTGTAGGGATATTGGTATTACACAACGAAATGAAGAATAAAAATGATAACTATCTGTATAATATATTTTAAAAATTTTGTTTCTTATCTGAAAAACATCATTTAAAAGTAACTAGCTATTTAAAGCAAACTCGACAATATATTCTGTGATTTATACTATTCATAGAAATAATATTATACATTGATATAATAGCCCAAAGAACAAGAAGTGGGGATGAGTTTAGGTGTAGGAGTTTAAGTTTTGTATATGACACATAAAATATGACTTGCAATATACAAATGTAAGTTAAAGGTGTTACTATTGTTTAAAAAAAAACTTAAATAAATTAAATTTAATTGAGCAAAGAATGATTCACAAAACAGGCACCCCCTGAACCAGAATAGGTATAGAGGGGCTCCAGCACAGCCACATGTTGTAAGAAGATTTATGGACAAACAAAGGGAAGTGACACATAGAAAATTGAAGTTAGGTACCAAAACAGCTGGGCTAGTTATATCTTGGCATTTGAATTATTCGATCTAGGTTTGAACAGTTGGCTGCCTTTGGTCTAAACTCAGTGATTGGCACAAGAGTAGGTTACAGTCTGCTTACACATTCAGTTAGGTTACAGTTTACCGTGTACAGAGAACTCTTTAAAATATATAAAGAAGCAGCCTTAAGCTAAACTTAAGACTATAAGCCCTCTAAAAACCAAAATAATCAAATACTAAATAATGAAAAACTAAAAAAGAGAGAAGTAGTTAATAGACAAAAAAGAAGATAAGGTAGAATTTGAACAATATACAGTGAATTTAAAAAGACAAACAGAAGAGAAGAAAACAAGAACACACAAGACAGATAGAAAAACAAATAGCAAATTAGTGAATTTAAAACCAGCCGTATTAATAATGACCTCAAAGGTTAATGGACTAAACATCACAATCCTTCCCAAATTATCAGGTTGGGTAAAAGTGAAAGCTACCAGGAAATGGTGCCTATGGGAAACCTATATTAAATGAGAAGAAACAAATGGTATAGGCAAAATAAAAATAAAATATACAGTTTTCTGGAGGTCAAAGATGCAGTGAACCATAATCATGTCACTGCACTCCAGCCTGGGCAACAGAGTGAGACCCTGTCTCAAAAAAAAAAACCTGTATACACACACAAACACACACACACACACACACACACACACACACATATATACATGTATACATACATATATATACATATATACACATGTATACACACATATACACACACATATACATATATGTACATATACACACATATACATATATGTACATATATACACACATATATACATATATACATATGTACATGTATGTACGTGTGTGTATTATTTATATATATACACACACACACACACATACACACACACGTTTTCAGTTTGTTCAGATCCTTGAGAAAGACATTCTTGGGTTGTGAAAATATTACCTCCCAGCAGGAGAGATCTAGCTGATGATATTTGCCCAGAGCAAGAGCTCAGTTTGGTCTAGCAGTGGAAGTCAGAACATTCCACTTCCATCTTTTTAAAAGATGTTTTTAACATCTTTTAACATCAACCATCTGTTGATTTTGCTTTAAATAGCCAGTTACTTTCAAAAGATGTTTTTAAGAATATGTGTGTATATATATATATATATATATATATATACACATATATGTTCTAGTATTAATCAAATGAAAGCTAGAATATGCATATCATCAAGATACAAAGTATATTTCAGAGAAAGACTGTTACCAAGGTCATTTCTTATTCAAAATGAGTCAACTTATCAAAAACTCATAAAACTCTTAAGCATTTATGTCTCAGCACTTCAACATATTGGTAGCAAAACTGATAGACCGCAAGGAGAAAAAGACAAATCCATAATTATAGTAAGAAATTTCAACACCTCTATCTCAAAAATCGATGGAAACTGGGACACATTATCAGTGAGGATTATCAGGGCAAATACAAATTTTAAAAATGAGGTTTAATTCTTCCCTTTGAAATTAAGGGAAGAGATTCCTTGCCTCGTCTCTTTTCGTAGAACATTTAAGCTAGTAAACTTATAATTTTAAGTTATTTTCCTGTCTCTTTTAAATGTATGTAAGTATTTTTGAAAGCTAAATAAGCTTCTTGCCAGAGGCTGTGGCTTCCACTGCTACAACACACTAAACTCCTGCGCTGGGCAAATATCGTCAGCTAGATCTCTCCTTGCTGGGAGGCAATATTTTCGCAACCCAGGAATGTCTTTCTCAAACATCTGGGAACCACCTTTTAAAATGTAATAATCAGGAAGACAGGGCCCCCATCTCTCAGTTTCTGAGGGAGTTTAAGAGTTTACCATAGGCATTCACCTCACTCAAATTTGCAAAACTGTATCTTATCTTAAAAATATGGATTAACTTTTCTTTTGGATAAAGCCTATTAGCTGAATTTAGGTATGTGTGGCAAATGGTGCTGTCAAGTCTTACACTAGGCTTACTTATTTTTTATCATGAGAACATGTATGTAGTAGGTTGAAAACACTTTGGTTCTTTAGTTACTAATTGTATCAATATTAGTTTAATAACTGTGGCAACTGTACTGTATTCTAATAAGATGTTAATAATAGCAGGAGTATGAGGTATATAAAAAACTCTGCAGTAATTTGCAATTATTCTATAAATTTATAACCGTTTTAAAATTAAAAGTTTATTTTTAAAAAGCTAAACATGAACCTCCCATATGATACAAGCATCCTACTCCTAGATAAGTCAATCAAGATAAATGAAAGCATATATTCATAAAAAATTTTATATACATTTCAGTAGCTTTATTTGAAATAGCTAGAAACTAAAAATTACACAAATCTCCATCAAGAAGTGACTAGATGAACAAAGTAATGACTACCTGAGACAGCCAAGTAAAAAGGGATCCCTGGAGAATCTCCAACTGGCCTGAGTACTTAAAAGATGGAGTGGGGCATCAGAAAGTTTACACCATTTGCAGGGGGGAGGAGCCTGGCCCCTCTTGATCTCGTGTGGTCACGTGGGATTCAATCTGTGAGATGGGGGCCTGTTAACAAGAACCTCTCTCACTTTGCTGTATTGTTTTTCCTTTTTCGTTTTTGTCCAATAAATTCCATAAGCCCCTCACCCTTCAAAATGTCTGAGAGCCTAATCTTTCCTGTTCATGTCACAAGAACCTAGTTTTTAGCTGAACTAAGAAGAAAGTCCTGCAACACTTTTGGCACCCAACGTGGGGCTTGAGAAAGGGTGAGTAAGAGACAAAACAAAAAATTGTTTTTTCTTTCACTCCTAAGCACTTTTTTCCTCAAACTTCTGAAGGTAGATGAAACTGTGCCCCCACTCCCTGTTGCTCCTGGGGATTGGAAATGTTTGCCTCAGTCCAACCCAGCCTTTTCCTGGCCTTTTCCTTCTTTTTTTCAGCATGGTAGAGCAAGCAAGCTGTGGTTTCCTGCCACCTTCCCTGCACCCCAAGCAGGGCTAGGATGCATGGCCCAAGGGCCCCACATGGCTGGCTAGTTATCTCTACCTCCTATCCATGGAGTCTCTTCCTCCCTAGCCAGGGAGTCCAGCTCCATCCCACAGCAAATTAATGTCTCTTGCTAGTGGAGGAACTATTTGCATAAGAATAAGAGGTTCTTCCCCCTGACCCCGGCATCCTTTTATCTTCTCCACCTTGTCAGCAGTTAACTTTGAAAGGAGGTTTTTTCCTTTTAGAAGATGTTTAGCTGGGCCAGGAATGTTGGGGAGCATTGTTTATATCATCTGTAGAGTTTTAATTGTGAGAAAGGATTTGTGAGGCTGATCTTAAACTGTAGCCAATCTGACGTGCTTTGTGTGTCTTTCTGTATGGTCCATAGCAAATTTTGCTGCAGGCCTCCATCTTGTTTTACGTCCTTGGGAGTAAGACCTATAACCATGTGGCAATATTTTGTTCTAGCTTCTGGCAGTTTACAATAATGGCCTGGGATTCAATCCTAGCTTAGGGAATGAGTTCTTTCTGGTTTTTCTTTTCTTGGATCCTGTTTTGCTGGAAAAAGGTTTTTTCTCAGTTGACTGAATTATTTTTGTTGATTTTGCCTTGCCACTTTTAATGCATGCATGAGAGGGGCAGACCTCTATTTTCCTCATGGAACCCCATAAATTAAAAGCACCAAAGGCTATTAATCCAAAAAGGAGATGAACAAATGAAAATTCTTATGGGGACTGGGTTTTCTTCTGCCTGTGTAGTTATTTATGTGTTGTGTGCGTGATATCTGTAAAAAGAGCTCTAATCACTTGATCTAAAGGTAGATAAACACTTTGATCAAATATTTTTTAAAGAGAAGATAAAGGCTGTGGTACCTTTCCATTCATGTGACTTTAATCTTTGGGAAATAAAAACAGCCTTAAAAATTATTGGTAAAAAGCAGATGTCATCAAAATATAAATAAGTGGACTGAATTATGCAGGTCAGATATTAGGTTGGCTAAATGTTTTAAGGTTATAAACTGCTTTTTGTGTTTTGAGAACTGTTCATCTTAGTAAGGCCTGGAAACATATGGAACTAACCACACCCTTAATTATACAGGAAGGAGTCAAACATTGGCTGCACCAAGAACATAATTAAAACAACTTACCAGGTTTTACATTAAGTTAAAAATTTCTAGGCGTTATCATTAGAACATGTAATTGGGAGTACATGAAAGTTGTGTAAGGACAGTAAAATGTGTTTTTAGTAAAAGACTGTAAGAAGCCATGTAAATGTAAATTGTTGCCTAGGGTTAAAGGATTGTTTTAAATTAGATAAGATAAAAAGCTAAACGTTCAAACAAGTGTGTGAAGGATTGTAAAAATTAATCTTGCAAAAATTCTGTATGAACATATTGACTGTATTCTGTATGTGAACATATTGATTAAATTCAAAAGGATATTAGGTGGTTTTTCTGCATATTGAGCATTAAAATAAAAGCACAGCAAGGTTCTCCTAAAGCACTAATCTGCTCTTTAGCAAAATCTGTAAAGGGTCATAAAAGGTTTTTGCTTTTTTAAGTTTCTGAGTCATCATTTTGGCAAAATAAGTAGCATGGTAATTTGAAATTCTGTTTCATAACATCAAGTGTTTTAAACCTCTAACATATTTAACAGACTTCTCGAAATTAAACTTTAGTTTCATAATTGTTTTTCCTGACACCTGTCTTTTCATATGCTTCAAAAGGGCCCCTGGAGTATCCAGAAAAGAGAGGTAAACAGGATTATTTGACATATTTAGGTACATGAGATTGTCAAAATGGTACTCAATCTTCTTTAGTCTATATCTTGGTAAATGATACTAATATATGTTCCAAAATTGTATGGAATTTCTAAAATTCTAATGTCTAAAGTATATGCTATCAATCATAATTAAAGTTATTAGGTTAAGTTATTGTAAACATGGAGATAGCCAAACTTGTTTGTCAATTGTGTTTCTAACTGGAACTACCCTGGAAATTTTGTTATTAACAGACAATTATTGTCTGTTTAATGCTTTTCAAAAGATGGTTGATAATAAGCTGTAGAACATTGACAGATGCACTCAAATAGAGGTTTTTGATAACTTTGGAGGATTGTGACATTAGAATAAATAAAACTGTACAGGACTCATGAAGATGTGAAATGTTCATGAATATCAAGCAAAACAAGAGCTAACTGAATGAACCCAAAAAGCTGAAGCAACCTTTTTGACTTTTGCTTGAAATATTGTTTACTCTTGTTTTGTTTTTCAGAGTCAAGAAAACTTATTTTGAACTCTTTACAGCCTTTAATAATTGAGTAAGTTATACTCCTGTTAACAAAATTTGGAGCATGTTTATTTCTCTCTGCCTGGTTCCTCTAGAATTTGAAAAATATCTGTAAGTATTCTTAACTGATAGCAATATAGTTGTTTGCACCAGAGCAATAAGAATCCATTTTCTTTTTTTTTTTTTTTGAGACAGAGTCTCGCTCTGTCGCCCAGGCTGGAGTGCAGTGGCACGATCTCAGCTCACTGCAAGCTCCACCTCCTGGGTTCACATCATTTTCCTGCCTCAGCCTCCTGAGTAGCTGGAACTACAGGTGCCTGCCACCACGCCCGGCTAATTTTTTGTATTTTTAGTAGAGACGGGGTTTCACTATGTTAGCCATGATGGTTTCGATCTCCTGACCTTGTGATCCACCCGCCTCGGCCTCCCAAAGTACTGGGATTACAGGAGTGAGCCACCGCGTCCAGTCGTAAGAATCCGTTTTCTTTTGCAACAGGCCACAATTGGAGAAACTTGTTGTTTTACCAAGTCTTTGACTGGAAGGGTATGCTTCCCTTTAAGGAGTCAAGCTCAACTTGCAGAGCTGATATAAAGCCCCTTGGGGAAACTGGTCTCATACACTTATCTACACAGTCCCTGTGCAGAGTTTCTGACCTGTGGTCAGTAAAAAATGTCACTTTCTAACAGGCCCAAGAGCTCCAAGCTTATCTTGGAAACTTAAGAGGAGAGGATCACTGAACTCACAGGTATTTAAAAATAAAAATGCATGGCTGGGCTTGGCTTTAAAAGGTCGTATCTGAGATTCCTTGTGGAACAGAGTTCTGACAAAGTCAATCTAAAAGGCCTATGTAGAGATAGTTATTCTTGCTGGACTTTTCATAAATAATCAGGCCAAGTATAAGACTAAAGTCTATTTTGAAAACAACTCAGTCCTATCATTATTTGTTTTTTAACAAAAATGAGGACTGGAGAGACAGAAATTATATTTCAAAACTTATACATTTGTCATTAAATTCTAAATTCATTAGTTGTTTTTATATTTTTGTTTACATTTTTAGATGAATCCTACTTATTCCTGTGAAGGAACCAGCAATCTCTGGCTGCAGCTCAGAAAGAACAAAAGAGATGGATAATGTAGAAATCTGGGTCAATATTCTAGTTCTGAGCAATTATCACGCAAATCCTGCCAGATAAAGGGAATAAGTAGGGTGTCTACATGGAGGTTTCCTTTTTGGGAAAGTAAGACCAAGGGAACTAACCAAAGCCCAAGCACCATGCATCCAAATCTTAGCAAACATAACTATAGCTACAAGTTATCTGGGCTGGCATGTCACAAGACATTCTTTTCTCTCCCTTGTTGGAGGAGGACTAAATTCCTCAGCTTCACCTTAACATTTGGCTTATGCTAAGTAGTCCATGCAACCCCCATCTGAGACACATTTTTGTCCCAAACTCAATTTTAAGCTTCAGGTCATAGCCCTACTAAAGAAAACTGGATCTCGGGGATCCAGAGGCCAACTATAATGAAAGTTAAAAGGCACAGTGCTGGTGAGTATGGCTGTTTCCTGCTCATTAAGCCAAGCTTTCTGTTTCATGGTTTCATGAATAAAGGTCATGCTAGTATCCTTGGCATAAAAGAGGTCTAGGTAATTCAAGGCTACTGACTGCAGGGAAGATAGGGCATACGTGGGTAAGAGTGGATACTCCCACACCCAGGCCCTCCTGTTAACATGGGTGAAAGCTGCTTTGACACCCATGGGCACCCTGTTGCAGTTGCCCAGAGTGGGGATACTAGGTGAGAGGAAAGAAGAAGGAATGCCTGACTTTCCTTCCCTCATGTGCCTTAGGTATTTGCTAGCAAGAGAAAGGAACCAGGATGCCTGTTCCCTTCTTTCTAAATGAGTATTCATCTCCAGTCTGGACCCCTTTTGAATGCATCCTGAACCCCTGGACTCCTTTGAAAAAAAAATTCCTTCTTTTTTCCTTTCTTCTCTTCTATCTCCTCTTCACTGACAGGTAATTGTGTTTCCATACTATAAGACACTCCTCTCAGATGCATCATCCAAAATGAGAAGAATTAATTTCCCAAACTTTAAACTGGTTGGCTTAGGATTGGGCTCAGGGGAAGGGAACCCAGAAGCCCAACATACCAGCAAAAGGGTAAAGGTTTTTTTTACAAGTTGGGTCTAAAGCCCCCCTCTCCCTGTGCAAACTAGTAAAAAGCCTTGGGATTTTTGAGCTCTTCTTACCCTACCCCTGTCCTTCTTTCATTCTGATACATATTTTCTAATAATCTCACCTTCAAGCCATCAGACTCAAAATTGTCATGTAACTGGAGCCTCAGAAGATGTTCTCTTCTGCTGAGAACCTGTAGATAGGCCTCTGAGGGAGATCTGCCGTTTTCCCCAAAACAGCACCCCCTGTCAGCAGGAAGCAGTTAAGATCAATCTTTAGCCTTGTCTTTAACGTTATTCTAATGGCAGTTGGATGTACTTCTTCAGGGGAGGAAATGAGACATCCAATAAAAAGGGCTCCCTGCAGAATCTTCAACTGGCCCACACAGTGGGAGGATGGGGTGGAGCCTAGGGAAGTTCACACCATTTGCAGAGGGGAGGAGCCTGGCCTCTCCTGACCCTGTGAAGTAACCTGGGATTCAATCTGTGAGGTGGGGGACTGTTAACAGGAACCGCTCTCACTTTGCTGTGTTGTTTTTCCTTTTACCTTTTTGCCCATTAGATTCTGTAACCCCCTCACGCTTCAAAGTGTCTGTGAGCCTCATCTTTCCTGGTGGTGTGACAAGAACCAGGTTTTTAGCTGAACTAAAGAGAAAGTCCTGCAACATATTAATTCAATGAAATGCGACTCAGTCACACCAAGGAATAAACTAGTGGTACATAAAACAGTATGAATAAAACTCAAAATAATTGTGCTGAGTAAGATTATTTAGTCAAACCTATTATATACTGCCTGATTCTAGTTTGGGGAAAATCTGGAAAATGCAGAATAATCCCTAGTGAGAAAGCAGATCAGTAGATATCAGAGAATTTTTGATGGGGTAGAAAGAAGGGGAACAGATTGCAAAACAGCAAATGGAAATTTGATAGGTGATGAATATGTTGTTTGTGGTAATGGTTTCACAGGTTTATGGATATATCAAACCTCATCAAACTACAACTGTTAAATACATCACATTCATTGTATGTCAATTTTAACGAGTCTACAAAAGTGGAACAAAGGAACTGATAAAATTGAAAATCAGGAATGAAAAGACATGTATAAATAAGTGATAACTTTAACTCAACTACTAATTGCTTAGAATACAGCTTTATTCCCCCCAAATTTTTACTTCCTATATGTTATTTGGCCTTGACTGAATAAACAATTTTTGCCTAGATGTTTGGATCCACATTTTAATTAGAATGACCACGCAAAGGAATGGGTTTCCCCAAACATTTTTGAAATAATTAAGAGTAACATTTTTCTGTTCAATAAACACAATTATATCTTTCCTAGGAACTTTAAAGTAGATTAGCATTCATAATCTAGCTGAAACCATTACAGTTCTTATTTCTTCACTAAGACATTCTATTTTTCTACTAAGATGCAAATATGTTATTTGGGAAAATAAGCACATTAAATCACTAGTAACCACTAGAGATGTTGTTCAATTAGCTCAATAGTCTCTCTCTATGAGGCTCAGTTGATGGTGTCAGGGTGGGTTGCTCCTCAGGACAAAGAAGTAATTGACTTTATAAAATAAGATAATTCCAAGCCCCTGGGTAAACAGCCAGATGGGAGGCATTAGAGAACCAAATTACTAGTATAACTGAACTCAAGTCTGGCTGCTCACCGCCTGAGAAGCTGAATATACAAGAGGTGAGTTGTGGTGAAAGGAAAGCAACTTTATTTATCAAATGCCAGTGGCTGAGGAGATGGTCAGGCTAAGGCCTCCAAGACACCATCTCAAATTTTAGGCTTAGTGAGGGGTTTTAAGAAAGAAAACTTCGAATGAAAATGAAGGAGTGGGGCAGGGTGCAGGTTCTATATGTCTTGTCCTGATGGCTATCTTAAGTTATTGTTAATCTGGAATGCAGACTGGTGCCATCTTAACAATGGCTGGGTTGTAGATTAACCACCTTAAGGTTATCCCTAGATGGGGAAGAATTCTGCAGCTGAGTCTCCAGGCCTGGTTTATTTCAGGAATAGCCCCTGCAATCTCCAAGCAAGCATATATTTAGATAAGTTAGCACAGTGCAAGAGAGTGTTTGTTGGGAAGGGAGGGAAACAAGGTTTAAAAGTACATTTCAAGGCTAAGACCAGAGACAAGAAAAAAAGTTTTAAAATGCATTCTGAAGCTAGGCCAGTTGGTAACACCAGGAAAGAACAAAAGAATGAAGAATTAGTCATAATCATAATCCTAACTAAAGATTACATGTTCTTGGTCTGAAATTGCTTTTGCTATTTAGACTCATAGGCATATTTAGACATAGAAGGATTTTCATTCTTAGTCCTTTTAAAAGTATACATTTTTTTAAAGTACGGAATTTTTAGCCATCTAAAAGCATATTGGTTATTTTAAATCTGCAAAGTTTACATAAGTGACATTAATTTTTGTTCTTCTACCTATGAATACAAATGGTCTTGCTGTCAAGCTGGAGAGCAGAAAATATTCTGGCAATTTTATGTTACGCAGCTAACAAAATCTTCTCATGACATTTTAGATTTTAGATAATACCATCAATCATTCATTCAGTCAATATATTTATGGAAGGCTTATTAAGCTCCAAGCCTAGGTTAATAATGAAGAAACAAATTTATAAGACATATAGATTAGTTTTCAACCATTGTTTGATTTGAAGGTGTTTAATATTGAAATTTTAATTACGTTAGGCCTGCTCACAAAAAAACATTAAAAATATCTGTCATTGATGTATATGTTATGTTCTATTTTATTTTATATATTAAACTAATGTATTTGATAGAGGAAAATATAGTCTCTGACCACCAGGTCTACAAAAAGTGACAGAAGCAGCGAGGAATAAAACCTTTAGCAAAGTAAATACATGATTCCTAAAGGTAAAGGTAATTGGATAATTGGTCTTGGTTTAGTTTTTCTACCTTGTCCTTCTGCTTTTAACTCTGGAATGGGAAATTGTGTTCTGAAAAGCTTAAAAAATTAGTTTGTGAGGAGTGATTTGCATCTGATTGGTGATGAGCACATGACTCTCTTGGGCAATTTTCCTGCTAAATGTGGATGTATTTTCAGAGAGATATATAAGATAGATCGAAATCTCTGAAACCAATAAGATCATGTGTAAATTTCAGATGATGGCAATATGGGCATTTATTTTAAAGTAAATTAGAAGTTTTAAAAAATTACCAAGTATTGATTTATGATAGTATGTGCTAGACTTAATTAGCAGCTTTATTAATATGCAATTGAATAAGCTGAATCACTTAAGGCAGCATATTTTATTTGAATAAAAAAGGAAAATAATTTGATGTCAGCAATGGAAGATAAAGTATAGGGTACAATCCTGATTAATAGGTACCAATTAAGATACTAAAAATATGAAGAATAAAGATTGAAGGGAGACTAGGAAAACATGCATGCATTTACATGTACACACATGGAAATGCATTTTCATATTATAAGGGCAAATACAAATTAAAACCAGGAGACATTCTCTGTTGAAAATAAGGGAAGAGATTCCACTTCCTTTTTCATTCTTAGAGCATTTACTTCAGAAAACATAAATTTGTGGCCGGGCGTGGTGGCTCACACCTGTAATCCCAGCACTTTGGGAGGCCGAGGTGGGCAGATCACGAGGTCAGGAGATCAAGACCATCCTGGCTAGCACGGTGAAACCCCGTCTCTACTAAAAATACGAAAAAATTAGCTGGGCGTGGTGGCGTGCCCCTGTAGTCCCAGCTGCTGGAAAGGCTGAGGCAGGAGAATGGCGTGAACACGGGAGGTGGAGCTTGCAGTGAGCTAAGACCGCGCCACTGCACTCCAGCCTGGGTGGCAGAGCAAGACTCCGTCTCAAAACAAACAAACAACAACAACAACAACAAAAAACAAAACCCCACATAATTTCGTATACTTTCTTCTCTTTCAAATGTACACAATCCCTTTTGGTCACTAAATAGAAGTTTTATCAGATTTATTATTCAGGAATGTGTTTCTCAGGAACCTGGGAGACATTTCTTTGAAATATAAACATCAAAGATAATATTATCCTTATCTCCTAATTTTTGTGGGACGGTAGAAACCTAACTTAGGCAGAAACCTTGTTCCAAGTTGTATAACTACCTTTTGTTATAAAGATATGAGAAGTTTGTTTCTCCTCTGGATAAACCCAATCAGCTAACACAGATGGTCACCCCAATTACCACCAAATAAATTTAGATGAACTATATGTGATAAATGCTGGTGTCAAGTCCTGTTACCTGAGGACTAGTTATTGTTTATGTTGAAAACATGTGTGTAATGGGTTTTATCTGATTGGCTATACAAAAAGGTGAGATTTCTTTTGTCTTTTAGTAGGTTACCTTTGATGCAACACATACTGATTTAATGCTTATTTAATAATAAAAGTGTTTTCTTCACTGCCTTTGTGGAGAGGATTTATGGGTTGACAAAAAATGTTTATGTTTCCCCAACAATATGCATATACACATGCATTTACCAACATGTGAGTATATGTACATATATATGTTTATGTATGGGCATATATATGTATATAAGTATGTGCATGTATATTTATATGTGCGTGTGCATGCTTATCACCCAAATTTTGCTGTCATCACAACTATTTAATACAGATATTTCTATTTCCTAAACATTTAAAGATTCTGGTTAAATTATGAGAATGAATTCTAGCAAAATTTTACTTTTGTCTTACAAAAACTGTGATTAAGAACAATATTTTTTGTATTCCTGAAGCATTATATAAATTACCGAAAACTAAATATATAGGGTGTGCAATGCTATCTTAAAGTCAGAGATTCTTTCCTCACCTTTGTTCTGTCTGGTGATAAGTTCATCATAGGCATTCTTCATTTCCATTAGAGTGTTTTTATATATTGCAATTCTTTTTTTATATTGTCTTAGAATTTTCATCTCTATGCTTACATTACCTTTCTGTTCTTGTATGCTGTCTACTTTATTCCTTAGAGACTTTAACATGTCACTTATCATTATCTTAAAATCTCAAGCGAATAATTCCAACATCCCTATCATATCTGAGTCTAGTTTGATACTTGCTTTGTCTCTTCAAAGTGTATTTTTTTGCCTTTTGGTATACTTTGTAATTTCTTCATGAGAGCCAAAGATGATGTACCAGGTAACAGAAACTGTGATTAACAGTCCTTTAGTATTGTGGTGGTAAGATGTGGTAGGAGGGAACACATTCTACAGTCCTATGATTAGGTCTCATTCTTTTAGTGGGTCTGAATCTCTGCATTGTGAATTTTACAAGTGCTTCTCAGTCCCATTTCTCCATTCACTCCATTGTCCCTTGGCTGGAGCAGGTTGGCTAGAGTGGGCTGAATTTAGATGTTTCCTTTCCCTTACATGAAAAGCTAAAGCAAGCTTTTAAAGTAGGGTATTTTTCTTCCCCCAAGACAGTAAGGCTCTGATAAAAATCCCCAATAGTTAGGCTCTAGTAAAATAGTTTCTTTTAAGGACAAGAATTGCTAAGAAGAAGAGAATATTGTGGCATAAATCAAAATGGTTTATTTTCCCCTCCCACTATTGGAAGCATAAGGGGATTTTTCTCCAATATTCACTGTGATAACCTGCTCAAGCTCCTGGAGGTAAGACTCACAAAAGCATGGGGACCCCTTATGATTGCCCCTTCCCCCATAGTTCTTAACTCTTAGACTTGTTCATACTGACCTCCAGCAGTTCAGCAATTATAGTTTAGGGATATTTTAACAGCTTTATTGAGGTATAGTTAACATATAGGCACTAAAATACACATACTGAAATTGTCTTAATTGATAAGCTTTGATATTTTATATACCCATGAAGGCATCACGACAGAGTAAGGAACAAAGTCAGCACAGTTGAATGTTTCCTTGTGGCCCTTTATAATTAGTACAACTCTGCATCTTCAATGCCTAAATGAGTACTGGGAACACAAGGAATGCTCCATAAATATTTTTGCATGTATAAATAATGAATGAATGTGCCGTTTTGCTAGTAAGCCATACCTGTCTGTTTTTCACATGTCTAGCTATATAATATTCAAAATAGTAAAACTGTATCTTTGGGCACTTATTCTCTACAGTTGTATAAGGCACATTTACCTAAATGTACTTATAAAGATGAAAATAAATTATATTGTTACATAAATTTACTTGCACCATTGTAGCTAAGGCATAGACTTGAAGTAAATGGATATCAAAGTAAAATGACCTGTACTTTATTAATATGGAAAGGAAACATAAATATATCATGAAAATTTAAAATTAATGTTGTGTTTCTTACAACTAATTCCAATATATTTTCACTTATATTAGAAAATACCAACAGTAGGAACTTATTTCCCCCAAGAGCATGCATTCTGAGATTCTGTCCGCTTTAAATTAAAACTGAAAATATTTCTGAACTAATATTGTTATCGAAATTGATTGCTATTACTAATGTATCTTTTGTAGAGATTCTTGAGCTCATAAAATGAAGACAAAATAAAGAATTACAAAAAAATTAAAAAACAAGGCAGAGTACAAAGGACGCTATTATCTTCCAAGATACTTAGTTTATAATTTCTTTAAATTAAAAAATTTCCTTAGCCCTATCGTTAAATCTCATGGCTTATTCCTAAATCTATCTCTATCCCATAAATATATATCTATAAATCTCTATTTTCTGAAAATCATACCAATACCTGCCACTTCTAATATTCTCCATATACTTGTGTTAATGAGGCTTACTTACTCTTAAAGTTTCAGTAATTTCCTCTATTACTTGCTTTCAAAGTATACTAAATATTTTTCTTTTTCTAGTTCAAGGTCAGCATACTTTTTTTTTTTTTTTCGTAAAAGGCCAGATAGTTTACACTCTCTGCCATGTAGTAGGCACTAAATAGTTGTTGAAGCAATTAATGACTGGATGACTTGTACCTCTGCTATCAGTCAGGTACTTAATTTTTCAAATCCTTGACATCTACATTTGAGCAAGGTGAGGATAAAATAAAATTATTTCTAAGATATAATCAAGCAATTCTTTCAATAATTGTATAAATGGTAGACATTAGTCCTTTACATGGACTGTTATAAAAAGGCCTTTTAAAAGAATGTCATTATTGTGTAGAATGAGAGAAAACAGCACTTCAAAACGACAATTTTTTGATTTTCACTCACCTGACGAAACACACTTATGGAACTTTTTCACCTTTCTAATTTGCTTCAAATGCCGAATGACCATAGACTGGTCAACGTTGAGTTCTGAGGCAACTTCTCGTGTAATCATAAGAGGATCAACTTCGATAATTGCTCTCAACTGGTTGTTGTCAACTTCCAATGGCAGCCACTACACTCCTCATCTTCAAGGCTCTCGTCTTCCTTGTAAAACTTCTTGAACCACCACTGCACTATATGTTCATTAGCAGATCCTGGGCCAAATGCATTGTCCATGTTGCAATTTGTCCCTGCTGCTTTACGACCCATTTTGAACTCAAATCAGAAAATCACTGGAATTTGCTTTTCATCTAACATCATTTCCATAGTCTAAAGTAAATATAAACAGCAAGTAATAAGTCATTTGCAAAAGAACATAAAGTGAGAAGTGCACATTAAAATATGTTTAACATAACCACATTTATTTAAGAATGTATTCTAGTATTAAATGGCAAATTTCAACAATGCAAAAACCACAATTATGTTTGCACCAACCTAATGTTTTGAGTTAATTGAAGTAACTCAGTTATCTGAGTTACCTCAGGACATACATTTTGGCTGTGTTCCCCACCTAAATCTCATCTTGAATTGTAATAATCCCCACAGGTCAAGGGCGAGACCAGGTGGAGATAATTGAATCAAGGGGGCGGTCTCCCCATGCTGTTTTTGTGATAGTGAGTGAGTTCTCGTGAGATTTAATGGTTTTTATCAGGGGCTTCCCACTTCGCTCAGCACTCATTCGCTTTCCTGCCATCCTGTGAAGAGGAGACTTTTGCCATAATTGTAAGTTCCCTGAGGCCTCTTCAGCCACGAAGAACTGTAAGTCAATTAAGCCTCTTTTCTTTGTAAATTACCCAGTCTCGGGTATTTTTTCATAGCAGTGTGAGAACAGACTAACATGCATGCTGTCTTAAGAAATGATACGGATTGATAACATTTTTACCTAGTTTCACTCAATTGTAATACCTTGCAAAACTGTGGTACAATATCACAACCTAGATATTGACCTTGATACAGTCAAGACACAGAACATTTCAATCAACATGTAATTCTTCTCTGCTGCTTTTTTGTCTCAGGAGTTTTTACACTGACTGATACATGAGTAATACTTGTTTCATAAAATGAATTTGGAAGTGTCTCTCCTCTTCCATTTTCTGGAATAGATTGTGTAGAATTTCTATTATTAAAAAAAAACTTTGATAGAATTCTCTAGTGAAATAATCGTGGCTGGGAGATTTTTTGTTAGGGAGGAGGCTAAATTATAAATTAAAATTCCTTAATACTTATATGACTATTCAAATTATTTCATTTTAGGTAAATTATTGTAGTTTTTTAAAAATTGGTATATTATATCTTAGTGTCAAATTTATTTATGTGGAGTTGTCTCTTGATTTCCTATTTACCTTTTGAGGTTGGCGGTGTCTATGGTTATGTATCTTACACTCATTATATGGGTAATTTATCTTGTCTTTTTTTTTCATATTGTTAGAGATTTGTCAGTGTTATTACTCCTTTCAAATAATCAGTAATATGTTTCAATTATTTTCTCTTTTGTTTTACTCTTTTAACTTTTGTCGGTTTCTGCTTTAATCTTTGCTATTTATTTCCTTCTGCTTGCTTTGGGTTTATTGTGTTCCTTTCCGGCTAGGTTTTAATGTGGGAGTTTAGATTATTGACTTGGAATTTTTGCTTCTGTTCTAATGTGCTTATTTCATGCTATACACTTCCATTTCAGCATTACTTTAACCTTGTCTCACACATTTTGATATGTTAACTTTTTATTTTTGTTACTTTCGGTGCATTTTAAAATTTTCTTAAAGACTATCTTTTTGATCAATGAAATATTTAGAAGTATGCCATTTAGTTTCCAGATGTTTGGAGATTTTCAGGCTATATGAGGCCGTATGGTTTATAGCCTATTGCTCCTAGGCTACAAACCTGTACAGCATGTTACTATACTGAATACTATAAAGAACCGTAATACAATAGTAAGTATTTGTGTATCTAGAGAGATCTAAATGTAGGAAATGTACCATAAAATGCAGTATAAAAGATAAAAACTGGTACACCTCTAAAAGGTACTTACCATAAATGTAACTTACAGGACTGGAAGTTGCTCTGAGTGAGTTGGTGAGTGAGTGGTGAGTGAAGGTGAGGGTCTAGGGCATTACTGTACACTACTGTAGGCTTTATAAACACTCTATACTTAGGCTACACTAAATTTATAAAAAGATTTGTCTTCAGTAATGAATTAACCTTAGTTTACTTTCATTTTTTTACTTTATGAAATTTTTATTTTTAAACTTCGTTTTTTTGTGATAATGCTTAGTTTAAAACACACATTATACAACTGTACCAAAAAATTCCTATTTAATATTCTTATTCTATAAGCATATTTCTGCTTAAAGATAAATTTATTTTAATTTTTACTCTTTCAGCTTTTTGTTAAAAGCTAAGACGCAAGCACATACGTTAGCCTAGGCCTACAGGGGTTTGGGATCATCAGTATCACCATCTTCTACCTCCACATCTTGTCCTACTGGACAGTCTTCAGGGGCAGTAGCATACAAGGAGTTGTCATATCCTATGATAATACCTTCTTCTGGAATGCCTACTGAATGACATGCCTAAGGCTATTTAACTTTTTTTTTTTTTAACAAGTAGAAGGAGTACATTCTTAAATAATGAAAAACAGAATAGTATAATAAATACATAAGCCAGTAAGATAGTTATTTCTTATCAGTTTCAAGTATTATGTAGTGTACATAATTGTATGGGTGATATTTTTATACAACTGGGAGCACAGTAGGTTGTTTATACCAGCATCACTAACAAACGTGTTTAATGCATTGCACTATGATGTTATGCACTATGATGTTATGATGGCTACAGTATCACTAGGAGATAGGAATTTTTAGTTCCATTATAATCTTATGGGACCACTGTAATTAATGCAGTCCATTGTTGACTGACATGTTTTTATGCAGTGCATGGGTGTACATAATTTGTCATAATCAACTGGTTTGATATTTTCCCAATTTGAATAAAATATACATTGTACAAATATTACCCCCTTTTATGTCCCTCTACTTACCTTATCATATAATTGCCTTAAATATTTTCTTTATGTTATAAAATAATAATAATAAAACATATGGTGCCACTTATTTCTGGCCCTCTGGTTTATGATGAGAAATCCAATGTCGTTTGAATTTTTTCTAGGTAAGATATCATTCCTCTCTCACTGTTTTCAAGCTATTTTATCTGTATTTAGTTTTCACAAGTGTGACTGTAATATGTCTTGCAGTGATTTTATTGTGTTTATCCTGTTTAAAATAAAGCTTTTTAAATCTGCAGGTTTCTAATACACTTCCTATAGGTCCATGAGATTCTGTTCATTTCTTTTTGCAGTCTATTTTTTGCCTGTTGCTCAGATTGAGTAATTTCTATTCCTATCTTCACTTATTTACTATTTTGTAGCCTCCATTCTGCTGTTCACACCTTTTGTTGAGTGTTTCATTTTGGTTAGTGTCTTTTTCAGTTTTGAAATTTCCATTTGGTTCTTACTGATGTCATATTTCTCTACTGAGACAATATTTTATTGCTAAAAGTTTCTGTTTTTTAATTTGTTTCCAGTATGTGCATATTTGCTTGTTGTAGCGTTTTTATGATGGCTGCTTGCCATAGTCTTAATGTTTGTGGTTCCCCAAAATTCATATGTTGAATGGATGGCTGACAGTACTTAGAGGTGGAGCCTTTGGAAGTTGGTTAGATCATGAGGTTGGAGTGCACATGATGAGATTAGTGCCTTTGTAAAAGAGACCCCAGAGAGCTGCGTTGCCCATTCTGTTGTGTATGATGCAGTGTGCAGGTGCCATTTATTGGGAATAGAACATCTCCAGACACTGAATCTATCAATGTCATGATCTTGGACTTTGCAGCCTCCAGAATTATTAGAAGCAAATGTTTGTTGGTTAGAAGCCACTATAGCAAACTGAACTGACTACGATACTGCTTTAAAATCTTTGTCAGATAATTCTAACATCTCTTTCTTATCTACACTTTGGTGTCTTTTTTATTCAACTCGCAATTTTCTTTGTTTCTAGTATGATAGATAATTTTTTATTCTGGATATTATGTTACAAAACTCTGCAACATATCCAAAATACTTGGTATTATTTGTTTTTCTCTGACACTGTTGTAGCAAAGGAAGTGGGAGAGTGCCACTTTCTTATTGCTAGGTGTGGAATAAAAGTCCAGGTTTCCCACTCAGCCTCTGTTGACACCAGTGGGGGTAAGGTTTCTTCATTATTCAGTGCCAGAGTGGGAGCTCTGGCTTCCCACTAGACCTCCATGGATAATATCTTGACTGTGATGGGTAGGAATACCTTGTTACTTCTCTTCATATGATCTTGTTGAGACCATGGGTATTGTCCTTGTTACTGCTTGATTGTAGAAAGCTCTGACTCTACTAGGTCTCCTCTGAAACCCACCCAGCATGAAAGTAGAGGGGCACCTTCTTACTGCTGGATGAGGGTAGAAATCCAGGTTCCCCACATAGTCTTCACTGCATAGCCTTGTTACTGCCCAGTAAAGCTGAAAATTGAAGCTTCCTAATTAGGCCCTCTCCTACCCCACCCTAGCAAGAAAGTAGGCAACATATAGCCTGGCGAGGGTCCAAGTTCAAGGTCCCCACTTGGCCTTTGCAGGCATTGGAAGGGTGGGGTCACATTTTTCTCTGTGGAATTGAGCAGGTGTATAGAAAATATCTAAAATGTTCCTGTCTTGCTAGATTGCCCCTTCCCTAGTCCTTCAGGGCGTTTGTGGGTTGTTTTGTTTTGTTTTGATGTTTTGGGAATTCTTAAGGTCTGTGTCTGGGCTATATGTGGCAAAATAAAAACCCAGGAAACTCCCCACTGTGTTGTTTCTTAGGTCCCATGGACCTTTGCTGTCAGCCTTCTTCCCAACTTTCAGAGCCTTACTATGTTTGTTTTGTATATAATGTGCAGGGTTTTTGGTTTTACTTAGCATTGATGTTTGAGAAATCTATTTCCACTTTCTTGCAATGGAAGTTGATTGCTTTCTTTTTAAATAAAATGTTACTAATGTGTAGATGTTTTTATATAAGTTCTGAATTATTTAAGTGCGCTTGCTCTTTACACTGATGTTAACCTTTTTACAAACTTCAGATTCCTTTTCGGTGTGCAGGTGTGTGTGTGTATGTGGGCATGCTGATGAGAAATGAAATCCAAATTTCTGACAAAATGATATGCTGCTGTCCAAAGACTGTTGGATTAAAAAAAAGTAGTTTAATTATAAGTGCACTAAAATCTCAACTTTTTAAATACTAAAGTGATGATTGGAGAAATGTCTCTTTGGGCAATATTCTTTTTGGACTGGGAGTTGGGATAATCTGAGTAAACTTTTTTCTTTTAAGTTCATTTTCACACTTTTCCTATTCGTCTCTTATGATGTAGAAGCTCTATGTAAGGAACTTGTTTATTTGCTAGCTAATTGGATGCATCAGTTGGTACAAGGATATTGTCATTTATCTTTTAAGGAATCAATATGTGGCTTATAGTGCTTTTATTATTTTATTTTATTTTTTTTTAGACAGAGTCTCAGTCTGTTACCCTGGCTGGAGTGCAGTGGCACAATCTCGGCTCACTGCCAGCTCTGCCTCCCGGGTTCATGCCAGTCTCCCTCCTCAGCCTCCCAAGTAGCTGGGTCTACAGGCACCTGCCACCACGCCCGGCTAATTATTTTTTTGTATTTTTTTTTAGTAGAGACGGGGTTTCACCGTGTTAGCCAGGATGGTCTTGATCTCCTGACCTCATGATCCACCTGCCTCAGCCTCCCAAAGTGCTGGCATTACAGGTGTGAGCCACACTGCCCGGCTTATAGTGCTTTTAATAAGAAAATACACTGAATACTTTTTGTTGTTACAGGTTTGTGGTATTTTCAATATTTCGTGCTAGAAAATTTCATTGGTTGTATTTTTCACTTACAATTCTAATTAAAATAAATATTTCCTGGGTTCTTTTTAAAGTTACTTGGTTAAAAAAATAGACATATGATCAATCTTTGAGTAAAGCTAGTTTTTCAAAGGTGACATGTCTATGCAATAATTAATGGCTTTATCATTTGATCATTAATTCATTCAAAAAGGCATTTACTGAGTAGCATGCATGCACTCACCATTAAGTTAAATATGAATAATTTATTAGGAATTACAAGTAAGTGTTCCCACTGTTCACATATACAAAGTGGTCCATGACACCTTAAACAACATGGGAATAACATCTGCCTAACCACAAGGTGTTAGGTTTTATATATTTAAGTGTGCACCTGAATAGTAGGTAAATGCTTGTTACCATGAAATTTGACTTCAATTACTTTCTAAAAGGTGAAGTTAGATAATGTTTCTTTTCTCTCTGCCGTATTTCTCATTTAAAAGAACGCTGTGTTCTGAACTTTACTGTTTACGTGATTTTTAGGTGAAACAATGCTACTATTGACTTTTTCTCAAAAGATGCTTTTACATGTTTAATTATTTTAATGGATAACAAAATATGGTCTGATTTAGTAATAAATATTTGTTGGTTCTTTTTATATATCAATCATTTTGCTAAATTCATTGATGTATTTTCTCACTTAATTCTTGGAACCACTCCATAATATGGAACAGTCTTACCTCAGTTTTACAGAAAATACAGCAGGTATCCATAAATTAAGCAAATTTACTAATGTTAAACAGCTAATAACTATTTAAATAACTAAATAAAACTTTGTTTGTTTTATCCCAAAGTCTAACTGTTTGATACCATAATATACTGTCTAATCATCAATCTGAAGGATTAATACAGGACTGTGTTAAGACAGTTTCAAAGTATTCACTCCAAAATGGGAATAGAGTTCTGGGATATTAGACACAGTTATAGTTTGTCCTTCAGCACAGGTTAGAGTCTAATTTACCATGGGTCATGTAAAATATCTAGGAGTAGAAACCAACCTGGAGCTATAAAATAAAGAGTGTCCTTTAAAATCCAATATTAGAGAAAAACAACTTTTGCCTCTGGAGGTTGTTGAAGGACAAAATAGGGATAAGAAAGTTTCCTCTTATTTCCTGATATACATATCACTTTTTCCAGCAAGGGTAGCAGCAGTAGAATTAAGGACTTAGAATAAGTTTTCTACATTTCTGAAGCTTTTAAATAACCCTTAAACATCTCTGCCTTGGAATAAAAAAATAAATCAACCGAAAACAAAATCCATTACTTTTTAATGCTGGTCACACAACAAAGAGGGTCAGTAGTTCCCTAATATGCTCTCTTTTTTTAAATTTTTTTCTGCAATCCCTCTACCCTTTGAAACAAAGCAAATCAAAACACTGGGTTTCAAGAATAAAACCCTTAGCATTATAAGACATCTAATTGGAATAAGATTTATTTTTAAATCTCTGTATGCTCTAAAAGCATACAGAGAAGCTGCTGGCTCTTCTTTAAGTTCTAATCAATTGACAAAATTAATGGCATTTTCCATGCAACCATTGAAATAATTCAACAGAGGAACCAAATTATCTCACTGACAACTTGTATTGTTCAGAACTGCCATATTAGTGAGTACTTGAAAATTATTGGAAGTATATATTTCAAGGATAAGTCTTGAAAATTTCAGTTTCAGAAAGTCTGGGTTGAAGCCTAGGAATGAGCATTTTTAACAAGCACAGCGACAATACAGGTGATAAAGAACTACACTTCGAGAGACAGTGCACTAGGTCAGGAAGTAGTCAGATACTTTGACTGGCTAAGCATAGCCATATACGTGCAACATTTCAGTTTTTTTTCAGTTGGAAGAAATTTTATGTTGTAGTCATAAAACCACATCAAGAGATGAACTGTACTGCCTTCACCAAAATGATGTCAAGCTGGTCAAATTATTAAGTGAAATTGGCATAGTCTCATTTGATGTTTCTAATAACTGTGGATATGTCTAGATAGTACAGACAAGTGCAAGAAATTACCCTTCCCTTAAAACAGAACGCTATTATAGAGTTATGCATATATGCTAACAATATATTCAGCATCTCTTCTGCTCTGTTACTTCAAGTAGGTGACAATACTAAATCAATATGTTAAGATATTTTACTGAAAGCTGCTACCAGACAGACTGAGAAGAAACAGGAAGAGGCAAGAATTGGGTCCAAATAATATTTGTAAAATACTTGACTATTTTACAATTCCTTATAAAGCTCTTGTCTAAAATACCTGAATATATCACAGGACTTTATCACAATAAATTATATTCTTTGTTTCTTACTGAAATAGTGCCTGTTCATTTAACAATCAAAACTGTAACCATGCCCACTGCGGTGGCTAACGCCTGTAATCCCAGCACTTTGTTAGGCCAAGGTAGGCGTTTCACTTAAGGTCAGGAGTTTGAGACCAGCCTTAACAACGTGGTGAAACCTCGTCTCCACTGAAAATACAAAAATTAGCCAGGAGTGGTGGTGCGTGCCTGTAGTCCCAGCTACTCAGGAGGCTGAGGCAGGAGAATCACCTGAACCTGATAGGTGGCGGTTGCAGTGAGCAGAGATCACACCATTGTACTCCAACTTGGGTGACAGAGCAAGACTCTGTCTCAAGAGGAAAAAAAAAAAAAAAAAAAAAAACCTGTAATCAGTCTTCTCTAGCTATCATCTAGCTATCATAGAAATTATAACTGATTTTATTGCAAAAATATTCTGATGTTTAAAAAAATAAGGACAACATGTAAAGAAGTGAAAATCTTTTTTTCCCTAATTCTTCTTCTTTTGTTGTTCTTGTATGTTTTGATTAAATATATTTGTTGGTTATGAAAAAATAACGCAGAATACTTTGGGGGATTATTCATTGCAATGCATAATTTAAATAATAAATTAGTCTAATCTTAATTTTATCCTGAAGGAAAAGTAACTTTTGACTGCTTTGTATGATAAGTCAAGGGAAAGTAAATACAGTTTTGATTCCTAGTTTGACAGTTGTTTTTTATATACTATCTTTCTTATTTTTCTCAACAATTCCATGAAGTGGGCATTATTACCATTTTTTAGAAAATGAAATTGGAATTTATACAGAAAAAGAAAATTGCTCAACTAACTAGTTGTCTCACAACTAGTAAATGACAAAACTGAGATTTTATCCTAGGCCTGGCTAATTCCTAATTTTATGGAATAGTAAATATTGTTCATATATCAGATTGTTACATGAACACAGTGATGAACAGAATATTTGCATATTTGGTAAGAAAAATAATATAAAATACTACATATAGTATGATATTTTAAAAGTATAATGTAGCTTATAAGCAATAACATCACAGTTTATTAAATGATATTATATTAATACAACATCTCATGGAACATGACATTTTATATTTATTAACTGTATTTTAGATTTTTTGAAATAGTAAATCAAACATTTCCATGCTTTATATTTTCCAGTATGTGTCCTATGTTAAGCATGCTCTACTTTGGATTCTAAAATTTGAAAAGAATATCTAGCATGTCATTCATATCAGTGCTTCCAAAAATGTAATGTGCATATGAATCACATAGGAATTATGACAGAATAAGGATTGTGTAGAAATACAGATAGTGATTCAATAGTGTATGTCTTGATATTCTTCATTTTTAACCAGCTTCCAAGTGATCTGATGTTTTCATTCTCTGAATCACACAGGATAATTAGGATTTAGGCCACATGAATATAATAACAGGTAAAGGGAAATAGCATTGGCTTGCAATTTTATTGACTTTTTTTGAATAATGATAACACACCACCTATTGATAAATTCACACATTTAAATATACAAAAAACCTCAGACCCTGCATCGCCACTCCTAGGTATACAGCATGGAGAAACTTATTGTAGCTGCAAAAGTTTTTAGAGCAATATTTTTTGTATTTGCAAACATCTAGAAATAATCCAAAGTTAATAAACATAGCACCATATTTCATTAATTAATACATTAATAATTGTTATTTTTTTCTTTTTCAACTTTTAGATTCTGGGTCTGCATGTGCAGATATTGGGATATTAGGCCTTGAGGATTGCAAAGGTATATTGTATGATGCTGGGGTTTGAAGTACAATTGAACCTCTCACCAAGGAAGTACATATAGTAACCAATAAGTAGTTTTTTAAGATTTTTAACCCTCGACCTCCTCCTTCCCTGCCCCCTTTTGGATTCCTCAGTGTGTATTGTTCCTATATTTATGTCCATGTATACCCAATGGTATAAGAGATAATATGTGGTATTTAGTTTTCTGTTCCTGTGTTAGTTTGCTTGGGATAATGGCCTACAGCTACATCCGCGGTATTGCCAAAGAAATAGTTTTTTTATGGTAGTGTAGTATTCCATAGTGTCTGTGTATCACATCATTGTCTTTATTTAATCCACCATTGTTGGGTACCTGGTTTGATTCCATGTCTTTGCTATTGTGAATAGCGCTTTAGTGAACATAGGTTGTGTGTCTATTTTTTTTTTTTTTTTTTGAGACAGAATTTCTCTCTGTCACCCAGGCTGGAGTGTGGTGGTAAAAACATGGCTCACTTCAGTGTCAACTTCCTAGGCTCAAGAAATTCTCCTGCCTCAGTCTCCCAAGTAGATGGGACTACAAGCTCGTGCCACCAAACCCAGTTATTTTTTAAAATTTTTTGTAGAGATGGGGTCTTGCCATGTTGCCCAGGCTGGTCTTAAACTCCTGGCCTCAAGCAACCACCCTGTCTTAGCTTTCCAAAGTGTTGTGATTATAGGTGTGAGCCACCATGCTTGACTGCCTGTGTCTTTTGGTAGTACTATATATTTTCCTTTGGGTATATACCCAGTAATTGGAATGTGGGGTTAAATGGTAGTTTAACTTATAATTCTTTAAGAATTCTCCAAAAGACCCTCCACAGTGGCTGAACTAATTTACTTTCCCACCAACAGTGTATAAGCATTCCTTTTCTCTGCAGCCTCACCAACATCTGTATTTTTAACTTTTTAACAAAACCATTCTGACTGGTGTGAGATGGAATTTCATGGTGGCTTTGGTTTGCATTTTTCTGATGCTTAGTGGTGAACATTTTTTCATGTTTCTTGGCCACTTGAATGTCTTGTGAGAAGTGTCTGTTCATGTCCATTGCCCACTTTTTAATGGGATTGTTTTTTGCTTGTTGATTTACGTTGCTTATAGATTCTGGATATCAGGTCTTTGTCAGAATCATAGTTTCTGAATATTTTTTGCCCATTCTGTATGTTGTCTGTTTACTCCACTGATAGTTTGCCTTGCAGTGCAGAAACTCTTTAGTTTAATTAGGTCCTACTTAGCAATTTTTCTGTTTAGTCGGTGTTTAGTTTGTGTTTAGTGTTTAGCTTGTGTTTAGTGTTTAGTTTGTGTTTTGTGTTAAGTAGATCCTACTTAGCAATTTTTGTGTGTGTTGCACTTGTTTTTGGGGACTCAGCCATCAATTCTTTGCCAAGGGCAATATCGAGAAGGGTATTTCTTAGGTTTTCTTCTGGGATTTTTATAGCTTGATGTCTTACATTTAAGTTTTTAATCCATTTTGAGTTAATTTTTGTATATGGTAATAGGTAGGAGTCCAGTTTCATTCTTCTGTAGCAGAGTTAATTGAATATACAAAATGTAGTATATCAAATCAAAGGTTTATGCAATAGTATTAATGTATAATAACTTGCATCTTTCAACCTTGACACGTCACAAAAATATTTAGCAAACAAGCAAATTACAGAATACATATATTAAAAGATAAATATAAAAATAATGATACATTTACAACTGAGCACTATGTTGACTTGTAAATAGGTACAGTGGATTGCCATTAATCACAGTATTTAATATTCTATGAATTTTCCTATAATGAATTGGCAATTAGTGAAACACTGCTCCTAGTTGGCCTATAGAGTTAGGCTCTGTGAACCTCTGGTCACAGCATTTCGTCAACTAATCAATATATAGCCTCGTTTTATGTGTTTGATTTAATTGTTTAACATTGAACTCACAGTCAACAACACTATAACTCATGCAGGAAGGAAACTTGCCTAACACCCATATGCTTAGGAACACTAAACAGCACTTTAACATTATACGTGGGGCCCTTTTAAACAGCACAATCACCAATAGTAAAGCCCCACACAAATATGTAAAACTTGGCACGAAATAGGTTGTGAAATGGACACCTGTTTACAGCATGAGAGCCAAAACAAGAATGCAGAACATTTGCTTGTTCAACATCACCTGGGAACATGTGTGCCAGGCGACTCAAATTTGTCACTCTCTGCGCGTGTCTGCAGTTGACCACAAAAGTGAACTGACATTTGATTTAGAGATTACAAATAAAATTTAGTAAGTAGGCAAATTTGCAAATGTGGAATCTGAGAGTAATGAAGATCCATTATATATGTAGAACTATTAAAGAATGCAAGGGAATAGTTATTAGACAAAGAAGTCTTTGCCTCTAGGAGATTACGAGATCTAGAAAGGCATCCAAGTGTCATTGATTCCTGGCAACACACTTTTTATAAAGCTAGGGGGGTGTGTTTATTATTTAAACTGTGGGAATATATACAGTCTTCCATACATATGGAAGTGTCATAATAAAAAAACATAAACACTGCATGCAGAAAAAGGTATGATACTTCTCCGCAGTTTCTTTTCATTTCCAAATAGTTAAAATTATCTTCATTATTGAAGTAAAAACCATTTCTAAGGTGGGGCGTGGTGGCTCATGCCTGTAATCCTAGCACTTTGGGAGGCTGAGGCAGGTGGATTGCCTGAGTTCAGGAGTTCGAGACCAGCATGGGCAACATGGTGAAACCCTGTCTCTACTAAAATACAAAAAATTAGCTGGGAGTGGTGGTGTGTGCCTGTAGTCCCAGCTACTTGGGAGGCTGAGACAGGAGAATCACTTGAACCTGGGAGGCGGAGGTTGCAGTGAGCCAAGATTGCACCACTGCACTCCAGCCTGGGTGACAGAGCAAGACTGTCTGTCTTAAATGATAATAATAATAATTCTATTTCTATTTGTATTTTTGGTCCACTTTATATAAAGATATAAATATATTTTAACTAATTCATCTGCAATATAATTTAGATGTTAAGTTTTATTTGCAACCTGAGAAGCCCTTCCTCCAACATGTTCTGTGAAATGCCCCTTCATTTTCCAATTAAATTATAATGCTTCATTTACTAGGCTTAAAATCCTAATATATGTTCTAGGTGTTTTGCTTTTGTGTTCTCTCTGTCTAGCACACATTTACACTTGTTTTAATCTTTCAGGTTTATAGTTTTTAATAAATGGTCATCATATTCCCACTATTCTAGTCTAATTGTTTCTCCTCTAGAAAATATTTTCTAGTTTGCTTTATAACTAGATTTCTGTGTCTATGTAAAACTAAGAAAAAATCTGTCAACTAAACTATGACATTCTATTGATTGTATAACACAGTCCAATTTTAGAGTTCATAATGTATAAAAAGTTGAACAGCATAAAAATATTTTCTATGTGAACTTTAGAATATGTTGAGTTCTGAAATATATTCCATTGAATAATCCATAGATGTGTGTGAAACCTAAAATTTCATTTTAGAAGAACAATATTTTAACACATTTTAGGCTTCCTACTTTGAAATATAGTACATGACTCTATATATTTTCATCTTTTATAACTCTCATTAAATTTTCTGAGAAACTCATCTAGAGGTAGCATATTTTATTAAGGTTATTCCTGTTGTATACATATATTGGTCTGTCTGTCTGTCTATCTATCTATCTATAGCCCTCACTCAATACTTCCAAGGATTTGTATATTTTTATTATATTTTTCAATCTGGTTTTTGTTGGTGGATAAGGATGCCATTGATTTTCTAATTTTATCTTAACACATTCCAATTGCTTGGACTGACTTTGTAATTCTATTATGCTTCTCTGGATTCTTTTGAGTTTTATAAGTTTATGATGCTATTTTCTACCAATAATGTAATCTCATATCTTTCCTACATTTATGATTTTTATTTTTATTTTGTGGCCTACTGCATTTATTACCAGATAAATTTATTTAGCCTTATCTCTCTCAGAATGATTAGTTATTTTCGGGTGTTTATCAAATCAAATGCTGGTACATTCTAACATATAGTAATACTTTCACTTAGAATTATCAACAAGGAGAGATGGTGTATTTTTAACTAATAGGTTTGCATTCTCTTGTTCAAGTCTATAATTATAGAAGATATACTCATGCAAGACAGATACTGTCATTTTTGGAAATTTATTGCCCAAATTGTTATAGAGTTGGAAGAATGCCTAAGAAATCTTGGCATTATTTTCCAACCACAATTACTAATTTACCATCATCTTTGTTTCTTTATAATCACCCATCAAATAATGAGTACCTGCAAAAATTAGATAAAGAATAGTGGCATGGAATCATAAAGTTTTGTACTTATTTTAGGGACTTGAATCTTCTTCATTGGTGACTTTTTTACTAGGTGGAAAAAATTTCTCTAATATCAGGTTATTTACATGGCTAGGAATTTTATATTCAAAAGTGGGTTTTGGCCAGGCATGGTGGCTCACGCCTGTAATCCCAGCATTCTGGGAGGCCAAGGCAGACAGGCAGGCAAATCACCTGAGGTCAGGAGTTTGAGACCAGCCTGGCCAATATGGTGAAACCCTGTCTCTACTGAAAATTCAAAAAATTAGCTGGGCGTGGTGGTGCACCTGTAGTCCCAGCTACTCGGGGGGCTGAGACAAGAGAATCGCTTGAACCCAGGAGGCAGAGGTTGCAGCGAGCTGAGATCATGCCACTGCACTCCAGCCTGGGAAACAGAGTGACTCCATCTGAAAAAAAGAAGGGGGGAGGTGGGAGTCATTTCAATAAGAAAAAAGGAACAGCTAAGTAGATAGGCCAAAATTCTGAGTGAAACTCTTAACTTTATTTTGAAATTTATATACACCTGCACATCCTCTTTGACATATTGTGTCAAAATAATCATCATGCATTTCTTTTTTAAACTTCTATACAATTTTTATTTTGTTTTCTCACCTAAAATTTGAAGTCGAGAATGAATTCTGAGCTAGAATCCACTAAAAGAAAAATAATGAAAGGACCTTCAGTAACACTCATCATTAGATTGCCCAATATCTGTGACAATGGGAAAATACATTTAGAAGTTGAAACACTTAAAAAAAAAAGGTTTATACCATACTGATGTGCTTGTTTTTAATAAAATATAGTTTAGTGTTATTTGTGGAATTCTTTTTTGTTTGTACTTCTTTTATTCTGGAAAAGAATCTATTTTATATTTTGAATGAGATTATATTTTTCAGAGATTTTAATATGGATTATCTCATGGGCTTTCTAATACATCTTTGGCTATTGTATTTTCAGTGTCATGTTGCCCATATATAAATGTACTTAAATAAAGTATTCCTGAAAGCACAAGACCCTGATTCCTTGATTTCTGTTTTCAGCTAGTAACCTACCATTCCTTGATGTTCTGCAAAGGAACTTACGCTTCTAAATCAAATTTCTCAGTTTCTTCTTTAGCAGTTGTGATTGTCCTCTGGTAGAATTTCTGTGTTCCTTCAATGTATTTAATATTGTAATATTCCAGAAGAACAAGAGTGTCACAGGATCCTTCAGATGTCACTCTTCCAGCCAGAAATCTCTGGCCAGTGGTGCTGTTCCCCGAGTTGCTCAGGCCCACTGGGCTCATTCCACCTACTGGCCCTGGCAGCCTGCGCTTGGCTCTTGCTACTAGCCTGGATCCCATGCCTGCCAAGGGTGACCCAGAAATGAGTGGCGAGGGGTCCATGAGAAAGCGAGCATGGGGTCTGGCCACTGTGTACAGCCAGGCATGCTAGCTGCAGTGGGGTGGGTAGCTCTAGGTGCCAACATGGGTGCCAGCTCCCTGTGAGGCTACGGCTAGACCAGGCATACCAGAGGCAGCTTCCATTGTGGGCACCGGGGAACGTGGTAGTGCCCGGATCTTGGAGACACCGAGAACCACAGAGCCCCAGATTGGGTGTCATAGCCCTAGCTTGGGTAGCTCCTAGGTCTGGGCTCCCTGAAGGGCCATGACACTTCTCTCCTTCTCTCTTTTCCTGAAACGTGGTAAGTGGAGGGCATGTTTCAGCCCTGTTTCTATTACAGCTCTTTCAGCCCTGCCATTTGATGGGTCCCAGGTTCTTGTCCTGCATCCAGGAAGAATGAGGTACATGGACAATGGAGGGTGAGCAAGGCAGAGAGGTACTTTATTGAGCAACAGAACAGCTTTCACGAGATCCAGAGTGGGTAGCTCCTTTCCACAGGCAGGTTGTCCCATCGTGTCTGCAGTCCTCAATGGAGAGAAGACCTGAGGTAGGGAGCTCCTTTCCCCAGGCAGGTCATCCTGTCGAGTCTGCAGCCCTCAGCAGAGAGGAAACCCGGAGTGGGTAGCTACTATCGGCAGGCAGGTCATCCCGACATCTGCCCAAGTCTCGTATGAGTCTGTGGTCTTTATGGGCTCAGAAGGGAGGATGTATGTGCTGAATGTTCTATGGGCAGTCATGGGCTGGCCCTAAAAAAGCATGGTAAGTTCTCACTACAGCCACAGACTCCACCTGGAACTGACAGCCCAGCCTCTAGGTTTCAAGCCTTCCCTGGTCTGAAGGTGGAGCTTCACCAGGGATCAGCCCCTTTCTACCCAGGAGCCTGTCTGCCTCCTGATGCCATCTACATGTCATCCATGGTGCACAGACTGTTCATGACAAGGGTCACCTTCAGGCCTGCACCAAGCCACCCTGAAGTCCCCTTTGCCCTCCCTCTCATGCTCATTTGCACTCAATGTCCAGAGGGGGCCAAGGCAGCAGGGGGCTGATGTGTCAGCACACCCAGCTGGGTTGTGACAGCACCCAGGCTTGGCCTCAACTTTGCTTCAAAATCAGAGCTGGACCTGGGAGCAGGGAGGGTCCAGGCAGTGTGAGCAGACACTTTGGAGCCAGCAGGGGTGCTTCCCAGACTAGCAAGAGTGCAGGGATGCCTGAGTTGACAGCTGCAGCAGTGAGGCTGCAGCTGAGCTAGCAGGGTGGGGTTCCTGCCCCACCAACTAAGAAGGGGGCAGAACTCCTACCTGTTCCCAGCTCCCACTGACTCCATGGAGGATGCAGCGCTGGCCACTCTTCCCCCAGTGCAGCCGGCATCTTCACAGTGGATATGCCAGATGGGCCGCCACTGCCATAAAGAGGACATATAATATTACCAAAGCACCAGCCTTATATTCACAAAATTTAGGAAGCACAATCATGTAGCTAGAATCAAATATGACAACTATAGTTGCTTATACATAGAGATCAACTTTCTCATAAAATGGAATTTACCAAGCAAACAGTATTGTCCTATAAAAAACAATATATACTGTAAACTAGTTTTACTTTTTATTGGTGGCTTCATAATAATTGGTGGAAAGGTAGAGAAAATAGAAGCTGGGTGCTAGAAGACTTTCTTCTTTTTTAATTTCAGCCAAATGCCTGTCAATGGTGACTAGTTGTCTGGAGTTTATAACCTGTGAAATTAAAAGTAAATTGAGTTTGGGAATTGGGGAACTGAACTGTTTAAAGTTTTAGAAAAATATGCATGCATTATTTTTATTTATAGCTATTCTACCTGTTAGAAGCAGTTGTACCAGTATGAATTGGACTTTGTCGTTGTACCTTAACCAGACTAAGCCCATCTTTATCAGTTAGCAGAATTGCTTAGCTCTTTTGGGCCTTCGTTCTTTGTGTTACTACTTTTCTAGCCTAAAGATAGAGCATCAGGCCATTTGTCCTCTCAAGGACAAATCAAACCCTTTCTTTTTATATGTTAATTATAGCATTATTTATTCAATAAAAATGATATAAATCAAATGTTTTAAAATAGGAATAGAATAAATAACACATCAATGTAGCTATCAAATGACCTATATCAAATGAGTATATATTTCAAATATCAGAAAATAAACACATCAAAGTGTTTATAGTAGTTATTGTGTGGTAGTGGGATTGGACAGATAGAACCAAGAAAGACTTTCCTTTTCTTTTTTCCTTTATGAATCTGGATACTGTACATATTTCTTAATAAAATACATGCTATTAAATGTGATTGTTTAATTAAAACATTATTAATATGAAAAACATAAATGTAAAAGCTCAATTGGAGAAACTTTATGTTATCTTTATTGTGTTTCCATGGACTTCTGTTCTCAAAACTTTCTCATGGCCCCAAAATGATGCATCTGTTAGTCTTTCCAGTCATTTTTCCCTCAAATAAAAATAAAACCACAAACAAGCAGACAGTAAGCGTGTGTTTCCATTCATACCTTCATTTTTCATAGCTTTTTTATTCCCTGGCATTCAACTAGCCTTCATAATTGCAGAATAAAAGGTTTTTGATTATTTTCCTGTTGCATTTAAAATTTATTGAGAATTATACCTCAAAATGGTTGAGAAATCAAATAAAGTAGAAAGAAGACTCTAGGTGTCAGGTATTCTACCTATCATGATTGATAACATAAGGAAAGTTTATTAGTAAAAGATTTACCAGTTGAAAGTAATCCCTATCTTAGTGCCCTGAAAAAAATTATAGGCACTGAAATCTTCCTAAATAGAATAAGAATGATTAATATTCAAGAGTTTTTCTCTATATATGTGGGCAGAGTTTTCTAGGTAGCTTGAAGTGTTAAAGTCTAAGACCAACATGATCGGATTTGCCTATAGGTCATTGACCAATGGAATAGTAGCCTTGTTCTGACTTAGGACTTTGTCTAAATGAAGCTGATTTATTAGCTTGACAAGTTTTCAGTGGTCTTCAAAATTTATAATTAATCCCACCAGCAGCTACCTGCAGTTATATGTATAAATAATCTCATTCTAAATAGTTCTCTTCTCTTCTAAGTCCTGGTAGATTTTCTAAGGGTCTGCAGAGATGAGGAAACTTCTTAAGCAAGGAAGAGTCACTGAGAGGGGGAATAGAAACAGAGTGTCAAATAAAAAGATGGATTGGCCTCCTTGATTCTGGCTTCTTTTAATCTTACCAAGTTACTAGAAATAAGTCAAATTTGCTTTAGTACCCATTATTAATATTCTCCCCTTCTGCTCCATTCTCTCAAAATTCATCCTAATGAACATGTTCCATTTATCAATCTACAAAGACATCACTCCTTTTTGGAAGCAGAAGTCCAAAGTTATGTAACATATTTTTTCTTAATTTTGTTTAATACTTATTAAGGACAAAACTAGTGTGCCATGAATTAGATGATAGGGAAGAAGTGAGGAGCTGAACTTGTACTTGCAAATAATTTAATTTCAAGTCATGATACTAATGACTTTTTGTGGTTGTAGTTTTGCTGGTTTGTTTGACTGTCCAATTTTACTTCCTCCTATGACAACACAGCTCTTAAAATCAGGAATTTTAATGATTTCTGGCCTTCTATAATTTACTTTCTGGGTAAACAGTTTTCAAACAATTATTTCTAGCTGTGAAAAGAGGAGACTTGATAATAGATTTTTATAAGATTTCTGAAGATTTAAAAGCCCTTTAAAATAATGCTTCTCCAAACATAGGTTTTATAATAAATTTAAAGCTTTTCTAAAATGACACTGAATTAGTAGAGAATGACAAAGTAAGAATAATGACAAGGAAGAGCATGTACCACTTTATGGTATTTAAAAATGTTGATAAAAACAGTTATTTAAAAATACCTTTGTGGTCATGATTTTACACCTGGTTAATTTACCTTTGAATTATAGGAATGAATGATGATGACTTAACATGGGTTATCATTAATCTTTTAACTGAATGGATGTTGCCTTGTAGTTTTAAAAACAATTCTGGATCATTTTCTCTGAAGGGATAGATACAGTTTTAAATTAATGAGTTGTACAATAGGTAGATAATATATGACCTATTTGTGGATACCAGGGGAAATGTAAATTTTTGTCCTTAAAGGAGCTGATTTTAAAGGGCTGTATTTTAAAATTTGGCATTAGCTGGAGTTGGTTGGCATATACAAAAACTAATCTTAGATAACAAGTTTAATATGTATAATTGCTTAAATAATGATATCTGAATGGAAATTTATAGTTTGCAACGTACTTTCTCATACACTATATTTAACTCTCACTATAACATGGTACAGTAAGTGTCAGTAATACCATGTTAATTTAGAGATGAGTAAAATGAGACTTACAAAGGTTAAATGACTTCCAAAACACAGATAGATTGGTCTCAGATAATTAATTCAAACAACTATGATGTGGTTTGGTTCTGTGTCCCCACCCAAATCTCACCTTGAATTGTAATAATCTGCATGTGTCATGGGAGGGACCCAGTGGGAGGTAATTGAATCATCAGGTTAGATTTTTCCCATGCTGTTCTTATGATAGAGAATAAGTCTCATGAGTTCTGCTGATTGTATAAAGGAGAGTTCCCTGCACATGCCATCTTGCCTGCTGACATGTAAGAAATGACTTTGTTCTTCTTTTGCCTTCTGTCATGATTGTGAGACTTCCCCAGCCATGTGGAACTGTGTGTCCATTAAACCTCTTTCCTTTATAAATTAGTCAGTCTTGGGTATGTCTTTATTAGCAGCATGACAATGTACTAATACAGTAAATTGGTAGTGGTAGAATGGGGTGCTACTGCTAAGAAAACTGAAAATATGGAAGCAACTTTGGAACTGGGTAACAGGCAGAGGTTAGAACAGTTTGGAGAGACCAGAAGAAGACAGGAAGATGTGGAGAAGTGTGGAACTTCTTAGAGACTTGTTAAATGGTTTTGGCCAAAATGCTGATAGTGATATGGACAGTGAAATCCAGGTTGAGGTGTTCTCAGTTGGAGATAAGGAACTTGTTTGGAACTGGAGCAAAGGTGACCCTTGTAATGCTTTAGCAAAGAGACTGGCGGCATTTTGCCCTTGACCTGGAGATTTGTAGAATTTTGAACTTGAGTGAGATAATTTAGATTATCTGGTGGAAGAAATTTCTAAGCAGCAAAACATTCAATAAGTAACTTGGGTGCTGTTAAAAGCATTCAGTTTTATGTATTCACAAACACATGGTTTGGAAGTTATGTTTAAAAGAACAGCAGGACATCAAATTTAAGAAAATTTTCAGCCGATGATATGATAGAAAAGAAAAACCCATTTTCTGAGGAGAAACTCAAGCCAGCTACAGAAATTTGTATAGGTGATGAGGAGCCAAATATTAATTGCTAAGACAATGGGGAAAATTTCTCCAGGGCATGTCAGAGACCTTCATGGTAGCTCCTGTCATCACAGGCCCAGAGGTCTCGGAGGAAAAAATGATTTTGTGGAATGGGCACAGGAACCCCCTGCTCTGTGCAGTTTAGAGACTTGGTGCCCTGTTTCCCAGCCACTCCAGCTGCAGCTAAAAGGGACCAAGGTGCAGCTCAGGCTGTGGCTTCCATGGGTGCCATCCTCAAGCATTGTCAGCTTCCACACGGTGTTGGCCTGTGAGTATGCAGAAGTCAAGAATTGAGGTTTGCAAACTTTTGCCTAGATTTCAGAGGATGTATGAAAACACCTAGATGTCCAGGCAGACGTTTGCTGCAGGGGCAGAGCCCTCTTGGAGAACCTCTGCTAGGGCAGTGTGGAAGGAAAATGTAGGATTCATGCAATAATTCCTGAAACCAAATATCTACAAATCTATATCTATTCCAAGTCACTTGCTCATTCCCTGTTTTCTCTAGGTCCCAAGCTCTGAATCCCATGTTAAAATATTGATTGAGCCTCAATAACATCAACAAAATGATTTTATATTTTGCATTATGTTTTACTATGGTTCACTTTTTTATTGTGATTGGAACACTTAACCTGAGATCAACTTTCTTAACAAAATTTTAAGTGTGCAATATGGCATTTTTAACTAACAGTGTTGTATAGCAGGTCTCCATAACTTATTAATCTTGTATAACTGAAACTTTATACCCTTCGCATAGCAACTCCTCATTCCGCTCTATCTTCATCCTGGCAACTACCATTCTGCTATCTGATTCTATGAGTTGACTATTGTAGATACCTCACAAAAGTCAGATCATACAGTATTTGTCCTTCTGTGACAGCTATTTCACTTAGCATAATGTCTTCAAGGTTCATCCATGATGTTGCATTGGCATATGGCAGATTTCCTTTCTTTTTAAAGCTGAATAACAGTCAACTACATGTCTATACCACATTTTCTTCATCCATTAATCCATCAGTGGACATTTAAGTTGACTCCACATCTTGGCTATTGTGATTAATGATGCAGTGAACATAGGAGTGTAATTATCTCTTGAATACCTTATTTTATTTTTGTGGATATATGCCTTGAAGTGGGATTTCTGGATAATAGGATAGTTCTATTTTTAATTTTTAAAGGAAATTTTGTACTGTTTTCTTTAATGCCAGCACGATTTTATACTCCTAACAATCAGTATTCAAGTGTTCTATATTCTTTATATTCTCACCAACACTTATTATTTTCTGGTTTTGTTTTGTTCTATTCTAATTTTTGAGGAAGACTCTCCTGACAGGTATGAGATGATATCTCATTATGATTTTCCTTTGTAATTCTCTGATAATCAGTGATGATGAGCAACCTTTCAAATAATTGATTGTCATTTGTAGCCTTCTTTTGAGAAATGTCTCTTCAAGTCCTTTGCAGATTTTTTTTTTGTGGACAAAGTCCTTGCTCTGTCACCGAGGCTGGAGTGCAGTGGCATGAACACAGCCCACTGCAGCTTGGACCTCCCAGGCTGAAGCAATCCTCCTGCCTTTGCCTCCCAAGTAGCTGGGACCACAGACATGCAGGACCTGGCTATTTTCTTTCTTTTCTTTTTATCTTTTTTCTCTGTAGAGAGCAGGTCTCACTATGTTTCTCAGGCTCGTTTCCAACTATTGGGCTCAAGCGATCCTCCTGCCTCAGCCTCCTAAAAGGCTGGGATTACAGACATGAGCCACTGTGTGTGGCCCTTTGCAGATTTTTTAATCACGTCATTTTTTTTTCTTATTGTAAAAGTTTGTTACATATTTTGGATATTAACGCCAGACTATCAGATAGATTGCAAATTTCCCCTCCCATTCTGTAGGTTGTCTCTTCACTCTGTCAATTTTTAAATTTGCTGTGTAGAAGCTTTTTTGTTTGCTACAGCTCTATTTGTTTATTTTTCCTTTTGTGTGTGATTTTAGTATCATAGCAAATAAATCATTGCCTATACCAATGTCAGAAAGCTATTTACCTTGTGTTTTTTCTAATAATTTATGTTACCAGGTTGTACATTTAAATCTTTAATTCTTTGAGTTGACTTTTGTGTGTGGTGTGTTAAGTGTCCAATTTCACTCTTTTGCATGCAGATATTCAACTTTATTCTGGCGACACCAATATATAATACATTAGTCCCTTTTACTTCAAAATCAAAATAACTCCAGTCTTGCTGGAATTTCTTCAGCTACCTTCTTCCTATATCTTTGTTATTCTCTTTTATCATCTGAGTTTCAGAAGGCTCAGAACAGGTGGGGAAAGCAGGCCTTTTCACAAATTCAAGTTGATAGCCTGTGTTAGCTTCTCTTGCTGACTGCTGTCCTGAAAGCCTGCCTTAGCTTTTCTTGCTGACTTCCTGCGTTGAAGGACAAGGTTTTGTACTTTAAAAGCCCCAGGAATGTACTCATTGAATGAAATCATTGAATTTAGGATTATTCTGATCTAGAGGTCATCTAAAGATCTATGTATTACATATATATGTATATATGTAATATATATATATAAATGTGTATATCATGTATGTATAATATGTTTGTGTGTGTGTATATATATAGAGAGAGGGGGATGTAGGGAGAGATAAAGAGCAAAAATTATATATGTATGAAGAAGCTGTACAATACATAAGGGTATACTATCTATCTATAAGTAAAGTTTGTGGCTAGACATAGTTTCGCCAAAAAATCCAAAAAAGTCAATGTCTGTGATTGGCTGGAAATTAAGACAGGAGACACAAGGCTTCTAGCAGGAGACTTTCCAGAAGAACTCTTTCATACATCATATTATGAAAGTCCTTATTTCTAAAAAGTAGGTTATTCTTCAATGTTGGTAATTTTTCCTTTTACATTGATAGTTTATATTTTGATTGTTATTACCAATATAATATGTCTCAATGTGAATAATTAACAATCGACTTACTCCATATTACCACTTCAGAATTAATAGTATAATACATATTCTTCTATATAATTTTTTATACTAATACACAGACCTATATATTTGTATTACTATTTTATACAATACTCAACAGCTTGTATCACTTATGTATTTATCACCTGAGCTTTTTATGCTAATAACTATGAAACTATTTGTTTTCTTAATTCATGTGTAATATTCCATAATATGCATATTATGTAATTTATTCTACTATACTTCCTGATTAGCATTTAAATTGTTGTCAGGTTTTTCATCCTCCCACAACAAACAGTGCTATAATTTAGAGATGTTAGAATTTTCAGGCTTTAAAAGACTGATTCAAATTTGAGGTATTGGATTAAGTAATATACTAAATTATAAAATTATTATTAAAATACATTGCAAGCTAATTTCTATAAGTTCCATAAATAATTTCACACTTCTACAATTAAAGTAGGGGTTTGTGTTTCCTCACAGTATTATTAGCATTGAATTTATTTTTATTTTGTATTTTGCCTATCTGATGAGAGAAAATATTGCCCTATCATTGACTTAAATTTTACTAAATACATATTTTGTCGTAGATTAGCTATTTCTATTTCCTCTTCTACTGAAATTCTTGATTCATTTTTCTAGTGAATTAAAACTATTCATGATTCATAAAACCTATTTTTCTCACAAATGCGGCTTAAATTTTTTCCTCAGAATTAAAATATGTATATTCGTTAACTCACCAAATATGATATTTTTTCTATTTTGCATCCTATGTTATCTTCTGAATCAGGGGTTATTTATTTTTTTAATAGTGATACTGGTACCTTCTATGTGTTGGACATTATTTTAAAATTTAACTCAACTAATTCTCATATAAATTCATAGATATTTGTTATAATTATCTGCATGTTGCAGATGAGAACAACGAGGCATGTAAAAATAAACACATTTTTCAGGCTCACACAGCTACTAACTAGACAAATTAGAATCCAAAAATATACATCTAGTTTACAGATTCCTAAATTTAATAACTTTGCGATGTGAGTAGAATACATGATTTAATTTGTCTTTTTTATATATTTTCTCATCTTCTTAGTTTTTAAAAAATATGTTAATTATTCTTAATCTGCAAAAATTATTTATTATCTTACACATTTCCAACAGAAATAAATCCTACTTTGTCATATGAACTTCTCATATATATTTTTACTATTTTTGAGATTGTTATGCTTTACTAGTGATCAATTATAGTATAATGTGACTTTATAATGAGGTAAAGCAAATTTTCCCCCAGGATTATTTTTCATTTGCAGAATGGTGTTGGCTAGTCTTCAATGAGAAGACAATACCAAGATTTCTCTTTGGAAATGAATTAACCAGTATCATTTATACTAGTAAGCTATATACTCGTATTACTTAGAAATTATTAAAGCATAATGTTATTAAAATAAATAAGAAACATATATCTGTATGTTTGAAGACAAATATACTGATAATTTTATTTCCTAATGTATTTTATTAAACTTTTATAATAAATTTTACTAACAGTAATTGAGTTGACTCATTTGACAATCATTCATTTGAATATTTATCAATTTTTAATCAAGTCATCTTACATTTGACTTTCTGAATATTTTGACATAATATTAACATTTTCAGGTTGTTCCCTGAAATCAGTTTTAGTTCACTGTCATGTATTTTGGAAAGTAATTTATATAATTTTCTTAGATGATTTGCAAATCTGATTTAATTTCTTCCCTGAAATAGACATCAATTTTTTTATAATGCCTGTGACCTGAATTTTCAATTAATTGGGCTTCATGTGAGAATAAATTTATAATTTTTTAAAAAATGGATGACTTGTAGGTGGGTTTCCTAAAATTAAAAAGTGATCTGAAAATCTCTATTTAAAATATGTAACAAAGAATACAGAAAATATTGTGTATACCTTTCATTGGGTTATGAAAGAAATATTTCCTCTGTTAATAGAATTTTTAAATGTCTATTTTCTGAGTTTATATACAACAGTAGAGCTAGATATATATGAGTAGGTATGTTCATATTTGCTGCTGATTCTATTAAATTCATCTGTACTAATTTTTCACATCTTGATATGCCAAATTATGAAAAAGTATGTTGAATTACAATAACTACATATATACTTAAAACACAATTTTCTGTTATTTTTAATTTTTTTACTGTATTACTTAGCCATTGCATAATTTGGCTTGAATTTTAATGCTGCTATGTTTTTACTGTATTACAGATTATTTACCTATAATATCCCTTTATCATCAGAAATAATGCTTTTGATCATAAACTTTACCTAGTCTAATATTAATGTAGTGACAGTTTGGGACTTGACTATAGGTGCATATATTTTACATTTTTCGCCTGACTACTTTCAACTGATTATTGTCTCTTAGATGTGATTCTTGTAAAGATCATATGAGTAGATTTTGTTATAATTCAAGTTGAAAGAGACTTTTTTTTTTCTTGAGGCATGGTTGTGCTCTGTCGTTCAGTCTGGAGTGCAGTGATGGAATCATGGCTCACTGCAGCCTCAACTTTCCAGGCTTAAGTCATACTCCCACCTTGGAAGGATCCCAGAGTGCTAGGATTACAGGAAATTTACTTCAACCATTTGCATATTAATGATTATTGCTATTTATAATTCAGAAAATCTTATTTTTTGGGTATCGATTTTCTGAATTTCTTTAATAATGAGATTGTGTAAAGGACCACCAAATTAAACAAAACATAAAAATGCTCAGTATAAATGACCTTTCCAGCATCTCTATACAGTAACAATTAATTCTATCCCTTCCTAGGGTAGTAATGTCCTCATAGTACAGTTCTCTTTTATTCATATTTAGTGTTATTATACAAATATAATGTAAAGCTCTTGAACAATACAATTTAAATCTGATGAAAAATAGCAAAACAATTATAAGAATAATATTACTAAAAATGTATCTAGAAGAAATTGAACAAAAGCCATTAAACATTGTTTGAAAAAAAAATCGTAATAGACTCCTGTCATTTAAATTTGATGAAAAGCTAATGTCAAATGATTCATATAATCTATTCTGTACTTATTTTTATAATTAGTCCATAATTGCTCTTATGACTACATTTTTTAACAAATGAGAACCAAAGTAAATATTTCTGTGACTCATATAATTTTGTTTTACATTTTAAACACTTAATTTTGAAATATATTGATTGTAAAATAGAAGAGATGAGGAACAGTATTTTATGAATAACGATACATTAAAAAGTTACTCAGTACCCAGATTAAGAAATTATCAACATCTTTGGAACTACATTTGTGCCCTACAATTTTATTTTTGTCTGTCCCATGCCAGACTTAATCATTATTCTCACATTTGTGCTATATATTGTATTATTTACTCTGTAGAAATTTTACTAAAAATATATTTTTTAGTTCTTTATATTTGAAAAAATATATCACTAGATGTATGCTTGTGTTCTCTGACTCACTTGTTTGGTTCAATTGTTTTTAGGGATTTATCCATATTAAAACACGTTTTTGTATTTCCTTTTATGAATTATGACAATGTATATTTTCTTCTGGAAATGGTCATATAGAATGTTCTCAAACGTTAAGCTGTTAAGATCAATGCTACTCTGAATATTTATGTACATGCCATCCTGAACATGTGAACAGGAACTCATTCCATGAATAAAACTAGGTGTGCCATTTTTGGTTAATGGGATATTTGAATATTCAGTTTCCTAAGGTGACTCCAAATTATTTTCCAATGTAGTTGTATCAGTTTACATTCCAACATGGGAACTTTTTGGTTGGCCATATCTTCAACAACTGGTAACATCAGGTTATTTTTTATCATGATGATGAGTAAGCAAAAGTAACTTACAATGGTTTAGAGGCGCGGTGGCTCATGCCTGTAATCCCAGCACTTTGGGAGGCCGAGGCAGGCGGATCTCAAGGTCAGGAGTTCGAGACCAGCCTGGCCAATATGGTGAAACCCCGTCTCTGCTAAAAATACAAAAATTTGCTGGGTATGATGGCGGGCACCTGTAGTCCCAGCTACTTGGGAGGCCAAGGCAGGAGAATCACTTGAACTTGGGTGCAGAGGTTGCAGTGAGCCGAGATTGTGCCACTGCACTCCAGCCTTGGGCGACAGAGCGAGACTCCATCTCAAAAAAAAAAACAAAACCAAAAAAGTGAGTTTGAACACTTATTTTCATACTTACAATGATTTTCTCTGTAAAATATTGCTTTTTGTCTTTTGCATATTTTCTATTGCATTGTTTGCATTTCACTTTCTGATTCCTAATGTTTTGTATATTTGGATTACAAATTTTTATTGTTTACATGTTGTGCAAATATTTCTAATTTTTGGATTTTCTTTTCAGTTTCCTTTTAAAAATAATTATATGGCAGTTTTGTTTCCTTGCAATAAAGTACACTTATTTTTATAGCTCAATTCTATGAGTTGTAACAAATGAATTCATGGGTATAATCACCATCACAATCAAACTATGAAAGATTTTTTTGGGAGTAGGCGTGGTGTCTCATGCCTGCAATTTGACTGCTTTGGGAGGCCTAGATGGAGTTTCCCTTGAGCCCAGGAGTTAGAGACTAGCCTGGGCAACATAGCATGACCCCATCTCTACAAAATAATAAAAACTTTGGATGAGTGTGGTGGCCTGTGCATGTAGTCCCAGGTACTGAGAAAACTGAGGCAGAAGAATCACTTGAGCCCCAGAGTTCTAGACTGCAGTAAGCTGTGACTATACTGCTGCACTCCAGGCAGGAGAACAGAGTGAGATCCTGTCTCAATAAAGAAATATTTTTTCCTTTATATCTAAATATTTCTTTATGCCATTGTGACATAAATCCCCTCTAGCAATCAGACTATGGCACTATCCACTATAGATTAATTTTTCCTATTCTAGAATTTCATAAATATGAAATTATAGACACAGATATGCACATGAACACACACACATGTAGTCTGGAAACAAGTCTTTTGCTAAATGTAAGTATTGCAAATGTTTTCTTTCAGCCTCTAGCATGCCTCTTAATTTCCCTAAATGTCTTTTTCAATATTTAGAGGTTTTTAATTTTTATCTCATCTAATTTATCAACTTACTTATGTTAAGTACTTCCAGTGAATATATTTTCTTAAATGTGTATACTAATTAGAGCCATATCCCATATTTTAATGAATATTAAAAATAATTTGAACTCTATTTAAGATTCTTCTAGGTCATAACACCCACCTAGCTTTGATTGCTAAAAACACTCACAATCCTATTATAAGAATGCATCCTATAGATATTCAATCAACACTTTAATATTTAGGTGGTATATAATAAAAATATTCATTTATAATTTTTAAAAATTCCTTAATTTTGTTCTGTAAAATTTCTAGAAGTAAAATTACATAGTCAAAATATATAAAGCTTTCAAAAATTTGTGATAATTATTTCAAAATTCCCATCTTTCAAAGCTTGTGATACAATGGACTTATTCTCAGTTATGTGTCTTTCTGAAAACAATAGACACAATCAAAAACTAATTTAAAAACTAATTCAAAGATGTTTTTTGGTATTTTCAAACACCACAAACATTTCAGGTAGATCGAAATAAATTATAAGATGTTAGTATGCTCAACTATGTAGTATAGTAATAATACTGTCATGATGTATTAGTCTGTTCTGAAATTGCTATAAAGAAATAAGGAGACTGGTAATTTATTTAAAAAAAAGAGGTTTAATTGGCTCACGGTTCTGCAGACTGTATAGGAAGTATAGCAGTTTCTACTTCTGAGGAGGCCTCAGGGAGCTTCCAATTATGGTGGTGGAAAGCAAAGAGGGAGGGAGACATCTCACATGAGGGGAGCAGGGGTGAGGAGAGGGGAGAGGTGCTACACTTTAAATAACCACATTTCAGGAGAACTCACTGCCAGGAGGACAGTACCAAGGGGGATGGTGCTAAACCATTCATGAGAAGCTTCCTTATGATCCAACCAATCACTTCTCATCAAGCCCCACCTTCAACAGTGGGGATTACAATTCTATATGAGATTTGGGTGGGGACATACATCCAAATCATACCACATGTTATATTTTAAACCTGTAAAATGTGGATCCTAAATGTTCAAATTACAAATTATTTTACATATAAGATATTAACAGTTAACATTTTGTACGATATTCTTGAGACTATGTAAATATGGGTGTAAATTAAAATACAGTGTTTCCTCAGTATTCATTGGAAATTGATTCCAGAACCTCCCTAATCTCACCATACCAAAATCTGTGGATGCTCATGTGTCTCATGTAAAATAGCATAGTATTTACATATAACCTATGTACATCCTCTATATATCTTAAGTCATCTCTAGATTGCTTATAATTCCTAATAAAATGCCTACACAGCACTTAATTCACATGTATTCAATGTAGTTCTCCACACAAAGAAAATTAATGTTTTGTCTTTTGTGGAAATTTTTACAAAAGGTTTTGATCTAGCGTTGGTTGAAACCATAGATGTGAGACCAACAAATGAAGAAGGCTGACTGCCTGTTGTAGTTTTAATATTGGCATTGAACTTTATTTTTAATAAAATGAAAATGATGATATAAAATAATATAGACACTTTTATTTAAGTGTTCTTAGCTAATTTTTATGAATAATATGTATCAAATTATTATAAATAATAAAATGGTATAGCAATATTAATACAATTATGGTTTCAAATTTAAAAATGACTTTTAACATTTAAATTACTATACTATGAAATGATAAGCACCGTATTTTGGAGTCTAACTAAAACTGTTTATAGGCCAGGAGTGGTGGCTCACAACTGTAATCTAACACTTTGGGAGGCTGAGATGGGAGGATTGCTTGAGGCCAGGACTTCAAGACCAGTGTGGGCAACATAGTGAGACTCTTGTCTCTACAACAAAATAAAATAAGAGCCAGATGTGGTGGCACGTGCCCGTAATCCCAGCTATGTGGGAGGCTGTGTTGGGAGAATATCTTGAGCCCAGGAGTTCAAGGCTGCAGTGAATTATGATCAGGCCACTGCACTCCAGCCTTGATGACAGAGAGAGCCTGCCTGTGGAAAAAAAAATCATAAAAGCTGTTTATAAAATTTGAAAAGAAGAAAATTGTATAATGAGTTACATTATCTTATAACTAGCTATATGTTCTTAACTATATTGTAAACCATATTGGCATTTCCAAATGCCTGAATTTATAAAATAAATTATATATAATTGATCTTATCTTTTAAAATACATTTTGGTTATGCTTAGTATATATTTTAAAAATTTGATGTAACCATGAATGTATTTTTACCCCTATATATGTATTTACTTAAAATTTATTAAAGATAATAAGTATATGTTACATAAGAGGAAAACGTAACAAAATAATTTTTAAAAATAAATAAAAATTTTCACGTTAGGATATTTTTAATGTAAATCTTATCAGTAATTCTATTAATAAAATTGTCCTGTTTATACATCATGTATTATAAACATGCATCAGCATTACAGGAACAACACTTGGTAGCCAAATGAGACTATTTTATTTGCATTTCATAGTAATTAAGTTGAGATTCTTTTTTTTTTTTTTTTTTGAGACGGGGTCTCGCTCTGTCGCCCAGGCTGGAGTGCAGTGGCACGATCTCAGCTCACTGCAAGCTCCGCCTCCTGGGTTCACGCCATTCTCCTGCCTCAGCCTCCCCAGCAGCTGGGACTACAGGCGCCTGCCACTGAACCCGGCTAATTTTTTTTTCTTTTGTATTTTTAGTGGAGACAGGGTTTCACCGTGGTCTCAATCTCCTGACCTCGTGATCCGCCCTTCTCGGCTTCCCAAAGTGCTGGGATTACAGGCGTGAGCCACCGCACCCGGCCAATTAAGTTGAGATTCCAATGAAATTATACATTGAGTTTTTAAGATACTACCTACAAAGCTATTCCCAAGAAATCAATGACATCTATTAAAATACCAACATGTTCAAAAATCATTTACAATTTAGAAAACATTAAATATACTCAAAATACAGTCATAAATAATATGGAGTTAAATACTTTTATTCATTCTTAATTTATATCAACATTGACATTTGAATTTGTTTGAAAAATAAGTTATTCTTAAGTATTAATCACATGGTTCAGAAACTACAACAAAGGATTAAATTATGGTTTAGGTAATGAGTTCATAATAAAGAAGCAGAGCATATTATAAAGCTATCTTGAGCTAAATTGAAATATTTAAGGTGAGTTGCTGGTATTCAAATGTCTATTTTTTTCTAATATTGGTCATAAAAGTAGCTTTAGAGCAACGTTTGATCCATGTGCTTTCTAAAATACATCAATACTGTATACATTTGAATTTTGCAGTAATACTTGTCTCTCAATGTGACCAAAGCTCCTTAAAGGGTCACTTCTTCTGTTTCAGGCAGAAAAGCAAGAAATTTTCCACAATTTATGGAACTTCACTTAATAGACAACTTAGCCAATTAAAGGATTTCCAACAGCCAGTGTATACCAATTGAACATTTAAATACAATACATAATATATTTTGTTAAAATTAGTTAAGTAAAAGCCCTGAAAAATAGTAATGTATGAAAGAAAAGAAGTTGTCTTTTGGTAAGAACACAACATAACATTTAAACTCTTAAAAGTGTTACTTCTACAATATATTATTGTTAATTATAAGCCAATGTTGTGCAACATACTTCTAGAACTTACTCATTTTGCCTAACTGTAACTTTATGCCGCTTCAACAGCACCTCCTTATTTCTCCCTCCCTTAGGTCCCTGGCAATTACCATTCTATTTTCTGATTCCATGAGTATGACCGTTTTAGATACTCCATATTAGCATAATCATGTAGTATTTGTAGTTGTGTGACTGGCTTATTTCACCTAACATATCTTGAAGGTTTATCCATATTTCAAGTATGGCAAGATTTCCTTCTTTTTGAAAGCTAAATAGTATTCCATTGTGTTTATATCCCACATGTTGACTCTGCACTCATCTGATGGTAGGTGTTTAAGTTTTTTTCATGTTGGTTATTATGATCATGCTGTGATGAACATGAGTACAAATGTTTCACTGAGATACTGATTTCAATTGTTTTGGGTAAATATTCAGAAGTGATCCCACTTCTGAATGCTTATAGCAGTAAAACCAAACAATATAACTGAAAAATGGACAAAGGACTTGAGTAGACATTTCTCCAAAGAAGACATACAAAGTACCTACAGGTATATAAAAAGAACAGATATCATTAATAATCAGAGAAATGAAAAGAAAATCATGATGAGATATTGCCTCATACCTGTTAGAATGGCTACTGTTAAGAACAAATAATAACAAATATTGGTGAGGATGTGGAGAAATGGAAACGTTTGTACACTCTTAGTGGGAAGGTACAATGGGGCAGCTATTAAGGAAACAGTATGGAGGTTTCTCAAAAAATAAATACAGAACTATATTTTTTAAAAAAATTAATATCCCATGTTCTAAAGGATTTATCTAAAAGTGAAAAGTTTATTATTATTTGGAATCTTGGGTATTTTGAAAATAAGACTACTCATTTCACTTCAGCAAAAGTATAAATAAATAGGTAGACTTTCATGTTTTAGTCATGCAAAATCCTGTGTCGTGAAGGAAGAGTACAAATGTTTTCCAGGTCAGTTTATAAAACAGCCATCTTACCTGGTAGCTATTGCCAAATATTATACAAGAAAGTAAATCTCCAAATCTTAAATCTTTCCTTTTAACACGCCCAATTGAGTTTTTACTACACTCAGTGTAATTTAGTAAAAAACATTTTTTATTTATTACGTGATTTAAAATTAATGGCTGGGCATGGCGGTTCACGCCTGTAATCCTAGGACTTTGGGAGGTCAAGGTGGGTGGATCATTTGAGGTCAGGAGTTTGAGACCAGCCTGGCCAACATGGTGAAGCCCTGGCTCTACTAAAAATACAAAAAAAAAAAAAAAAAAAAAAAAAAAAGAAAGAAATTAGCAGGGTGTGGTGGCACATGCCTTTAATCCCAGCTACTTAGGAGGCTGAGGCAGGAGAATCACTTGAATTTGGGAGGCAGAGGTTGCAGTGAGCTTGAGATCGCACCACTGCACTCCAGCCGGGGTGGCAGAGCAAGACTCTGTCTCAACAAAAAATATAATATATTGTCTAATATTAATAATGTGTGTTTTTTTCACTAAAAGTTTAGAACTTTGGCAAAAAACTTTCTGTGACATAAAGGGTAAAGACTGCATCAAGTATTAACCAGAGACATTACACAAATAAGATGACAATACAAGGGTTTAAGTTCAGAAATCCCAGGTAATCTTCTATATAAAAGTTCCAGTTTTCTGTTATGTGTACAACTTGGTACTTCTCCGGCTGATTCCCAAATTTCTGACTCCTATCATTTGTCTCATCTCATTGTGGCCAACTTGAAGCATTAGCCACCGGAAATAAAGTTTGGGACTTCTATTTTCAAAAAAGGAAGACTATAGTAATTTCTTGTCTATTACTTAAAGAAAAGGCAATCAATTTTTCACTGGGTGGGCAAGAGTATTTTTAGAGACCTACCCGATTACAGCAGAGGAGATACTCTCAAAATGAATGTCACTAAGGAATGCTATGCATAACAATGAGCAATCTTCCCATTAGTAATTGCCAGCTCTTTCTAGATGGTAAGTAGTCACAGAGGGTCTAAATCAAGCTGTTGGACCTGTGGCCCAGGATAGTTCTGAATGTGGTCCAGCACAGATTCATAAACTTTCTTAAAACATTGAGTTTTATTTTGCAATCATTTTAGCTTATCAGCTATCGTTAGTGCTAGTGTATTTTATGTGTGGCCCAGGACAATTCTTCTTCTTCCACTGTGGCCCCGGGAGTCAAAAGATTGGACACTTCTGGTTTAAATTAAGCTAAAAAAAGATATGCCAGCCGAGCATGATGGCTCACACCTGCAATCCCAGCACTTTTGGAGGCTGAGGCAGAAGGATTGCTTGAGCTCAGGACTTCAAGACCAGTCTGGGCAACAGAGAAAGACCTGTTCTCTACTAAAAATCAGTAAAATTCACGGGGTGTGGTGGCACATACCTGTGATCCTAGCTATTCAGGGAGGTTGAAGTGGGAGGATCAGTTGAGCCCAGGAGTTCCAGGCTGTAGAGAGCTATGATCATGCCACTCCACTCTAGCCTGAGTGACAGAGTAAGACTGTCTCAAATAAATAAATACAAAAGATATGCTTCAACCAATTGAAATAAAAAAGGCCTTTGCTAAAATAATATATTTAATCATTGCATTTCAATATTTAACAAGTAAAAGGATTTTAAAAGCAAGTCCTTTCTAACACATTAAAGTTTAAAATTCTTTCAAGATTTTGAATAGATTTGTTCTCATATGCCCTATACCATTAAGAGAAAAATATTCATAAGATCAGTATTTTCCAGTAATATGAGATAATGTATGTTATAATAACAGAGGCAATTTAACAGACCAAATTCCCTTAGAGTGAAGGTTGAGCTCTACAGTACTGACTTCATAATTCATTTGGGAATTTAAAATAAAATAACATGCCATGTTTTAATATTGACAATAGCAGGTTATATGTAGGTAGCTGTGTTATTGATAAAATGGTGGTTGTTATATTACTAGGAAAATAGAATTAAGTTCTCTATGGAAAAATGTAAACTGAAAATATATGGCAAATCAATAGAAATAAAAGTAAATTCAATACATAAAACTGCTGCAGACGCAAGTTTAACAAGTTAGAATTTTGAAGAACCCAAAGAGGCAGTTATTGGAAGCTTTTTTTTTTTTTTTGAGATGGAGTTTCACTCTTGTTGCCCAGGCTGGAGTGTAATGGCACGATCTCGGCTCACTGCAACCTCCGCCTCCTGGGTTCAAGTGCTTCTCCTGCCTCAGCTTCCCGAGTATGTGGGATTACAGGCATGCGCCACCACACCCGGCTGATTTTGTAGTTTTAGTAGACACAGAGTTTCTCCATGTTGGTCAGGCCAGTCTCGAACTCCGAACCTCCGGTAATCCTCCCACCTCGGCCTCCCAAAGTCCTGGGATTACAGGCGTAAGCCACCACGCCCTGCCTGGCATGCTTTTTAATTCAATAAATAAATGAAATTAGAAATATGAGTTTCTCCTGTGAGGATGATAATCTCAGCAATTTACATGCTTGTTAGAAATCATGAAGATCAGAAAAGAGGAACTTTGAAAATGAGTAAATTTTCTCACTTTTTTGCTACGTTTCTCAATACGTTCTAAAAGATTTTTCATAAAAGACAATTTCTAATGTTAAATTATTAATTTCTTAATATTTTGTTTTTTCTCCATGGACATCAAAGATTCTTTGTATATTTCTTTCACATTAGTTGAACATTTTTTCAGATACATAAATCATAAAACAATACAAAATAATGTTTTAACATGTTACATATTAGCATTCAATAATAAGCTTAAAAAGTTCTTTTATAATTGTTCTGTGAAATAAGTAATATAAGGTTTATCTTTCAATTGAAACGGAAATGAAATGTCACTCTGATGTTTTTCCTAAATCATTAATACAATGCAAAAATGTTTTTGCTTAATTAAAATTTTTCAGAGTAGACTAAGCAGTTTATCATTACTTTGGGAACAGACATATTTCTAATTTTATTGGTTTTAGTAAATTCCTGTTGTTTTAAATATGGAAAATTACATAGTTTAAAGATAATTTCAAAATGTATTTGTTATCTATACTTTCCTTTTGTTAAATATATGTTTTGGACATTAGCTCATTTATTACCAACTTTTTGATGGATAAATGTATAAAATCCTAAAATTAAAGATATGCTTTCTACTTTAAAAGTTATGGAAATATTTTACTTAGAATATGGTTTTAATGTTTGATTCAAAAAATACATAGAGCATTCACTAAGTTCTAGTACATAAAATAATCAGAATAAAATTTAAATTATTATATCTTGCAGAAATCCCTTATGTTTACACAAAAGAGAGTTCAATTTTATCTTGATATATATCACATGTAGTTTGTAAAGCTAATTAAATTGGTCCCTAGGAAACAATAAAGGAGTTGAAGCTCTAATCTACTGGGGTACCTTCTCGTTTTGGTATTTGTCATCTTAAGAGCAAGAGCAGAGTATAGCCTAAGGTCAAAAATGTAATGTCATACAAGCTTTTGGGGCATAAAACTAATTGAGTCTGTTTGCTTATCTCTGTAAGAGAAATAAAATCAACAATTTGAAGTTGTATTAAATGAGGTAACATAAGAAGATAAAACCTAAAAATATAAATGTGGACTTTATCACTGCCATCATGATTGAAATAAATTTCAATTTGAAGCCATCACTACAGCCCTAAAGTAGAATGTTTGCCAGAGCAGTGCAAAATGCATAATATGATTTTTTGGTAGAGCTGTCTATTTTAAAATATACTTTGCAATCTTCAACACGACATGATAGTTTTTTTTGAAAAAAAAAATGTTTATTGCTCCCAGCCCCAAATTGTCTTTCTTCCTATTTTTGGATGGGCCAAATTATTCCTGTTGCCTTTTTTCTTTTTTTTTTTTAAATCTGTTTGCTTTTATTTAATAAATGACAGAGGAAATTATATGTATTTCCCATGTTCAACAAGATCTTTTGAAACATATATACATTGTGAAATGACTAATTCTTGCTAACATAAGCATTACCTCATATAATTACAATTTTTGTGGTGAGAGCACTTCACATACATCCATTCTCTACTGATTTTTCAAGAATACAATATATTTTTAATTCTAGTCACCATGATTTTATCTTTTTGTTTCTTCCCCTGCTATAACCTCTCCCTGAAATGCTTCTTCAAATGTCTCCTGAAGATGCCAGGGTTCCTTTTCTCTTATCAACTTCAGTGAAAGGTGACCTGTGCAGCCTGTTTGACTCTTAGACTGGAGCAACTTACTGCACTAAGCTCCTAAAATAATGTGTATATACAGCCTCTAAAAGCCCCTATTGTATCCTGTCACTGATATTGGATCATATGTGTCTCTCCACTTTACTGATGGCTCCTCAGGGCAAGAGCTATTCTTGCTTATTTTTGAATGTAGGTATTAAGCCTGTAAACATGCTGAAAAATTGTATACAAGTATAATGCTTTATCAATCATATTCATAAGCATTCCTAGCACTGACTGTGCCAGGCCCTGTTTTAGGTACTGAGGATGTAGTAATCCATAAAGACACTGCCTTCAAGGAGATTTGCATTCTAACAATAGAAGTCAGAAAATAAGCATGTAAACACATATAATAAAAACATTAGAATCGAAAACATTTTCAAATCATATAAAAATGAAATAAAATAAGATATTCACACTCATTTAGACAGGTTATTCAAGAAAAGTCTTTCTGCAGACGTGATATTTAAGCTGAACTCTGAAAAGGGTGTATTTGGCAATGAGAACAAGTCAATCATTTGAAAAATCTGGGGAAACAGGGTGTGAGGCAGAAACAACAGCCAATATAGGAGCTCTGAAGTTAAAATTTTATACTTCTTAGGCTTGAAAGAATTTGGAGACCTATGAAAGTTATCTTTTATTCAAATTCACTTGGGTTAATCACTCCCTTAAAGGAAGTCTTTATAATTACACTTCTGTAATAGAGGAGTTCAGTGATTAAGTGAAGTCTTCCTGAGGATACCTTACACATCCATTGTTACTCTCAAAAGCTAAATAATAAAGTGAAACACAGTAAATAGAAATAGAAAGTTAAAATATAATACAAAAAATTGATGTCCATAATCTATAGTTCTAAGAACAGTAAAAACAAGCAGTAACAGTACATTTTGAGCAGTTGTTCATTTAAAAATTGGAAACGAGTGATAAGAAATCCTCAATTTATTATAATCTACCCAAAGTGACACAACAAGCTGTGAAGAAGATAATGAAGAAAAGGGCACTGTTGTGAATTAATCAGAGATATGCTCTACAAATTTGGTAAAAATTTTAGAGTAAGATACAGAATTAAAAGTCTCAGGTCCTGGCCTCAATACTGACATACAGGTTCTGAATGTCACCATATTTGAATCTGAAAGATGAAGGGTAGCATACATATTAGAAATCTGCTTCTATTACAGAAGTTATTTGCCTAGATGTCTTTCAATGATCAGTTTAGGTCTCTGCTTGTATATAAAGTTTTATCTTACTCTTTTAAGGTCATGAAATAATTATTATGATTTTCACCACTCTTCATTTTCCTTGTAAGTCCAGGGAATACAAACTTAAGAATATTTAAACTTTTCCAAAATGTATCAAGGTGAGGATAAAGATCTAATGTCTAGAGGGCTCTTACAGTGAAAAAACAGTAAGCTATTTTATTCAAACCAGATCATTTATCCTTGAAATGTTTCACCATAATTATTAATTATTACATTAAGTAAGCCTGGAGAGCCAAAGATTTGGAGGAGGAAGAGCACCACTATGTAACTTGGAACGGTAAGACTGATGACCGATGATTAATTAATGAAAGCTTTTGATTCCTCAAATCACTCATAGTAGAAGAAGAAAACGATGCTGTAGAAAATCTCTCCTACCTATTTTGTTGTTTCTGTTTCTGGCATTAACTGTTCTGATTTAAGACATTTTAATTGGGTTTCATGATTTTGTTATATACACTATGATTACATTTTCTCTCTTTTTCTGAATCAGAAAATAAATTTAAATGTTAACTTGTTGCTTAAATTATAACTTATTGAGTCGATAGATGAGTAGCAAATAAAATGAGGGCATTTTTATCTGAGCCTCAAAAGTTAAGTCTAAAACTCATCTTGTCTACCCTGACTCTAGTACTCTATAAATTAGTTCTCCAGAAAAAGAGCTGTTTGTAGTCATCCCAGTATTCTATTATCTAAATAAGTTAGACTTTAAGTAGGTGTTGAAGCTATAATTAGTAAGAAAATGTTTATTTGAAAGAAAAGTTAAAATGATAGTATTGCTTGTAGTTCTAAGAATCTGAAGTAGATTGCAAAATACTAATAACATATTTTAAATTTAAACTTATTGAGTCATAATTGTTCTTGTGATTTTTGTAATTTTACTAATTTTAAAACAAAATAGCTGAAATTAAAACACATTGCATCTCTCTTATGTAGTAAATATGTTAGAAGATCTGTTGATGACCTTACTTTAAGTGGCATTTTTGTCATACTTAACAATCATGTGTTTGCATGCCAGGTCTATATATTTGTGTGTGTGTGTGTGTGTGTGTGTGTGTGTGTGTGCGCCAGATGTAGGTATAACTTTCTTTATCAAAAGCCCGGTGTACTTATTAACCATACCAACTTTTAGATTCACATTAAATGATGTCCTTGAAACTAGAGACATTATGAAAAAAATAGAAAATTTTATTAATTGCCTATGAGAAGAACTTTTAACTTTCGGAGAGATGTTTACCAAAGAGAAATAAAAACAAAGTGATATATTGAAAATATACAATGTAATTTAAGTTTGTACTTTTGAAATGATATTGGAATGTATTGAAAGACTCATATATTTATGCATTACAGGACTGTTAGAAAAAATAATTGTTTTTCTCTCAGTGCATCTGTCTTCTATTGTGATTAAGAGCAGATTCCAGAATCCTTTGGCTGTGCGTAATACCCACTTCTACTCCATACCAGATCTGTTACTTAGAAAATTTGCTTAAATGTTCTGTGTCTTATATTGTCTCTTACATGAGAATAGATAAAACAACCTAGTTGACTGAGTATTTTATTTAACAATTGGAAATCCTTAACACAGTTTTTGGCATATCAAAAGTGTTATTATTTCCTTTATAGAATAAATCTCAAATATCTGTAACATGGTAATTGTGTGGTGTAAGGTAAATTTAAATTTATTCCTTTTAAGTCTTCTATTATTAAATTCTGAATTCTGAACTTGGAATGAATGAAGGAATACTATATTGTACTATATCTGAAGAACACATTTAAAAATATACTGTATGTTTAATGGGTAGTGCTGCTTAAAGGGAGTATCTGATGAATATGGTAGTGAAGTTATCAGAATTAGTTTCTATAAATCATATTATAAACTTAAGAAATGTGAACACATATACATCTTTCTCCCATTCTCTGTTATGAGAATATTTGAAGAATCCTATACCAGTTATTGTTTAGCTCCACCTTGAGGAAAGGCAGGGGAGGAGTTTCAGTGGGTATATATGATACAACAAAGAGTAATATTATAAAAAAAGTTGAATTTTCTGTTAAATAATATGTTTGAACTAGAGAGAACGTCTGCCTGGGAGTATGGAAAGGCTGTTGTTCCTTCAGTTTATTTTTTTATTAAAATCAGTGTTAAAAATTAATCACTCTATTTACAGAATTTTTTATCCCATTAATGAGAGAAGGGTTTCTGCCCTAACGTAATGGGAATGGCTGAATGCATGATACCCAACACTGAAGAGATGTGATCAACAGCAGTTTATAAACAAGTCAATGACATTTGCACAATAGAAGATAAATACAGGAAAATCAATTGCATTTCTATAAATTTTCAATGAAAAATCTGAAAATGAAAAAACAATTCCATTTACAATAGCAGCAAGATGAAATATGTATACCTAAACTTACAAAAGAGTGAAAAACTTATACTCTGAAAACTATTAGGTTGGGACAAATGTAGTTGTGATTTTGCCACTACTTTTAATAGCAGAAGCCACAATTACTTTTGCACCAAACTAATACAAAACGTAATTGAAATAATTTTTTAAAAATAAAAACAGAAAATTGAAAGGCTAAATATTTCAATGATGTCAATATCCCTCCGAATTGATCTACAGATTCAATGCAATTCTTATTAAGTGCCAGTTAATTCTTTTGTAAATATTAACAAGTTGATTCTGAAATTCTTATAGATTTGCAGAGGGCCCCAAATAACCAAAACAATCTTGAAAAAGAAGAACAAGTAAGAAGACTCACATTCTTTGTTTTCAAAACATAGTACAAAGCAACAGTAATCAAGACAGTACTGCACTGGCATGTGGTTAGACATATAGATGAAATACATTGAATTACAGTTCAGAATTAACTGTGTGTTTATGGCCAACTAACATTTGTCAAGGGCGCTAAGACCGTTTGCAGAGCAAATAATGCTGAGATAATGGGAGAGCCAGATTTCAATCCTTACCTCACACTATATACAAAAATTAACTCAAAGAGCAAAATTTAAAAACTGAAACTACCATTCATCTTTGAATATCATGGGTTTGAACTGCGTGGGTTCACTTATATGTAGATTTTCTTCTGCCTCTCTCACTCCTGAGACAGTAAGACCAACCCCATTTTTTTCCTCCTCCTCAGTCTACTCAGTGTTAAGACCAGCCCCACTTTTTCCTCCTCCTCAGTCTACTCGATGTTAAGATGATAAAGATCTTTATGATAATCTACTTCCACTTAATGGGTAGTAAAAATGTTTTCTCTTCCTTATGTTTTTCTTAGTAACATTTTTCTTATCTTGCTTACTGCATTGTAAGAATACAGCATATAATACACATAACAAATAAAATTTGTGTTAATTGACTACTTATGGGTTAGGCTTCTGGTCAAAAGTAAACTATAAGTAGTTAGGTTTTGGGGGAGTAAAAAATTATACCTAAATTTTCAACTGCATCGGTGGTTGGTGACTCTAACCCTTGTGTTGTTCAAGGTCAAATGTGTACAATTTGTAGATGGAAATATTAGATATACATGTTTATGGCTGGGTGCGGTGGTTCACACCTGTAATCCCAGCACTTTGGGAGGTCGAGGTGAGTGGATCATGAAGTCAGGAGTTCGAGACCAGCCTGGCCAAAATGGTGAAACCCCGTCTCTACTGAAAATGTAGAAAAATTACCAGGGCGTGATGGCATGTGTCTGTAATCCCAGCTACTTGGAGCAGGATTCAGTCTTGAAAAAAAAATGATATACATGTTTACAAACTTGGACTTGATATTGGATTCTTAGATATGACACCAAGAGCATGAACAACAATATAAAAATGTATGATAAGTTGGATTTCATCAAAATTAAAAACATCTGCTTCAAATAACATTATAAAGTGAGTGAGAAGATGACTCACAGAATGCACAAAAACGTTTTTGAATCATATCTGGTAATGAGCTAATATCATGCATATATAAAAATATTTACAATTCAACTATAAAAAGACAAATAATCAAATTAAAATACATGAAAGAGTTGAGTAGACATTTCTCCAAAGAAGATATATGAATAGCTGGTAAGCACGTGAACAAGTGCTCAACATCATTTGTCATTAGGGAGCGATAAAACACTTTACATTCACTAGAATATCTATAATCAAAAAACAGAGAACAATTGTTGATGAGATTGTCAACACATGGAAATATTTATCATTTGGTGAAAATTTAAAATAGCTGAGCCACTTTGGAAAACAGTCTGGAAGTTCTTCAAATAAATAAACATTGTTACTAATGACCCTTCAGTTCCACTATTCTCCAAAATATATGCTTAAGAGAAATAAAAATTTGTGCATAAGTACTTAAAACATTAACATTCATAATAGCCATGAGGTGAAAACCACTTAAATGTTCGTCAACTAATGATATATGCAACACCTATAAATAGAATATTATCCTACCATAAAAACGAAGGAAATACTGATACATGCTATAACATGAATGAGCATTGAGAATGTTACACTAAGAGAAAAGAGCCAGTAATAATACGTATTAAATGTGTCTATTTGTATAAAATGTCCAGTATTGCCAAATTTATAGAGAAGAACATAGATTAATTGTTGCTAAGAGCTGGAGTGGTGAATAGGAGTTAGGGTTTGATAGCTAAGGGTACACAGCTTCTTTTTGAGTAGACAAAAATGTTCTAAGATTTATTATGGTAAGAATTGCACATATCTGATATCTGAAATGAAACACAGTAGTCTTTTATGAGGCTTTGTATTTCTGCGGTATCAGTTGTAACATCTGTTCTTTCAATTATAATTTTATTCATTTCAATATTTTCATTTTCTTAGTCTAGCTAAAGTTTTAATAATATTGTTTATCTTTTGAAAAAACTCATTTTCATTGACCTTTTGTATTTTTTGTACCAATTTTGTTTCTTTTTTTTCCTTTAGTATTGCTGACTTTGATATTAGATTATTCTCTTTCTAGTTATTTGAGGTGTAAAGTTAGGGGTTTTTTTGAGACCTTTTTTCTTAATGTTGGGCTTAATTGCTATAAATTTTCCTCCTAAAATTGCTTTTGATACATCTTATAAGTTTTATATGTTGGTTTCCATTTTCATTTGTCTCAACATATTTTTAAATTTTTGTTTTATTTATCTTTTAACTCACTGGCTGTCCAGGAATGTGTTATTTAATTTCCACATATTTGTTAATCATCTAATTTTCTTTCTGTTATTGATTTCTAATTTTATACCATTGGTGTCAGAAGAGATACCTATTATATGAACCTTCATTAATTTGTGAAGATTTGTTCAGTGACCTAATATATGATCTGCCCTGTAGAATGTTCTGTGTGTGCTTGAAAAGGGTATGTATCCTGCTGCAGTTGGATGTGATGTTCTACACATCTGCTAAGTCCATGTGGTCTATAATATCTTTCAATCCATTGGTCCTTTATTGACTTTTTTTGTCTGGAGGAACTATTTAGTGTGGAATGTAGGGCATTGAAGTACCCTAATATTATGGTGTTGCTCTCTATTTTTCTTTTCACTTCTTTTAATCAATTGATATCATGTATCAAAACAGAATGAAGAATCAAAAGCATATTTTCTCAATAGATGTAGAAAGAGCATTTGACAAACTTTGACATCCTTTTGTTACAAGTAGTTAGACAGGCATGAGCCTGGCAAGAGAGGACTCTCCCCTCCCTGCACCAAGAATGTCAAGTGAGGCAATTATAACATTGTCTCTCTAAAAATGATAATTTGGCAGCCTGCACCATGGAAAAAAGATTCTAATGGCTCATAGCCGTAAACATTAAAGTGTTAATTGAATGCAGGTGCCAGAGAGAGCAAAAAGGGCTTCCACTGAAATATCAGGACAAGTGAGCCTGACATGCACATTAAAAGACAAGGTGGTGGAGTATGACGTTCTGAGAGCACACCACAGGAAAAGGGCAGAAAGTCTGAAATGGGCACGCATACAACTCCCTAAACACACTGCACATGCTCACTTCCCAAAGGTAAGGAGGGCACTGTGCATGCAGGAAACCCCACCTTTCCAAAGGAAGAATCATAAAAAAGGGGTGCAAAGTGCCTGGAGGGAAGCTAGCCTATAAAATCGTAGGATCAAAGTTAAACACTACACTTGTCCTTCAAGTCACCCACTTGGGTCTTTCTTCCAAGCGTACTTTCCTTTCTTTCCTATTCTAAAGACTTTTTAAGTAAACTTTCACTCCTGCTCTGTAACTTGCCTCAGTCTCTTTTTCTGCCTTATGCCTCTCAGTCTAATTCTTTCTTCTGAGGAGCCCCAAAATTGAGTTTGTTGCAGACCTGTATGGATTTGCCACCAGTAACTTGGATACTTTTCATTGTTAATGCTTTCATGATAAAAACTCTTAAAAATTGTTTTAGTCCATCCATTCTTACACTGCTCATAAAGACATACCCGAGATTGGGTAATTTATAAAGGAAAGACATTTAATTGACTCACAGTTCAGCATGGCGGGGGAGGCATCGGAAAACTTGCAATCATGCTGGAAGGGGAAGCAAGCACATCCTTCTTCACATAGCGGCAGCAAGGAGAAGTGCAGAGTGAAATGGGAGGAAAGCCCCTTACAAAACCTTGAGATCTAGTGAGAATTTACTCACTATCACGGGGATAGCATAGGGGAAACCACCTCCATGATTCAGTTACCTCTCACTGGGTGTCTGCCACCACATGTGAGGATTATGGGAACTACAATTCAAGTTGAAATTTGGGTGGGGACACAGCCAAACCATATCAACAGCTTAGATATAGAAGAATTATAGCTTAACATAATAAAGGCCATCTATAACAAATACACAGTTAAATGGTAAAATTATTAAAGGTTTTCCTCTAAGATCAGAAAAAAGACAAGGATGACCACATTTATCACTTCAATTTAAGGTAGTACTGGAAGTCCTAGCCAGAGCACTTAAGCAATAAAAAGAAATAAAGGGCATCCAAATCAGAAAGGAAGAAGTAAAATTGTCTTTGTTGGCAGATGAAATGATTTTATTACAGAAAACCCTAAAGGCTCCTTCCATAAAAGTGTTAGAATTGATAAACAAATTCAGTAAAGTTGCAGGCTACAAAATCAACATCCAAAAATCAGTAGTGTTTTTATAAATTAACAGTAAACTATTCCCCCTAATTAAGAAAACAATTCCATTTACAATAGCATAAAAATATTTAGGAATGGAGGGAGGTTGATTAAAGGGTGCAAAATATTTCTTGTAGAGCATGACAGCTTAGGATGAATCAGTTCTGAAAATATATAGCCTAGTGATTATAGTTAATAATATTGTATTGTATAGTTAAAATTGCTCATAGATTAGATCTTAAAATGTGTTTAGCCCAAAAATCCTAAGTATATTAAGTGATGGATAAGTTTATTCATTTAATTTATTTACACATATCAAAACATCATGTTGTATACAATAAATATATACAAATTTTATTTGTTAATTGTACCTTTAAAGAGATTATTTTTAAAAAGTATAAAAAGGCCTTTAAAACATTACATATTTCCACTGTGCATTAATATTCTTAAAGCAGCCTAAAATGTCTATTTGGAATCCTCAGACCAAGATGGGGCACAGAAATTCTTATTTGAATAATCATGCCCTGATTTTTTTCCTATTTTTTCCTAATTTCATACAAATGTTAAACTCTGAGATCTCAAAAGCACAATAAATGTAATGTGTAAAAAATATAAGAAAAACAAAAAAGTACACAATAATCAAATTGCTCAAAACAAGTGATAAAGAAAAAAGTCTTCACAGCAACCAAAGGAGGAGTGGAGCTACATTTTGTACAGAGAAGCAACATTTTATGACAGCAGATTTCCCATCAAAAACAATACAAGTCAGAAGACAGTGAAGCAAAATCTTTAAATTTTAGAAAGAAAATTTGCGAAAATCTGTCCACTGAAAATTATATACCCAAGAAAATATCTTGCAAAACTGAAGATATAATTTTAAAAACCTTTGCAAGCATACAATAGAAAAGCTGAAAGTTGTCATCAGCAGTGTAACTATAATAGAAAAAAATGTTAAAAGAAGTCCTTCAAGCAGAAGGAAAATGATCTGATACAAATATAGTTGGAATAAAAGCACCATAAATGATAAGTATATGTAGTTATATTTTTTATTATTCAAATCTCATTAAAAGATTATTGTTGAAATAAAAATGTGATTATTTGTAGCATACATAAATGTATAAAAATAATAGTACACAGGTTAGTAAGTAAGTAATCATATGTTTCATATAACTGGAAACATATGATTATAAGATATATATAATAAATTGGTATACTATTACTAGAAATTAGACTAAAAATTTAAAGATACATAAATATACTGTAAAACAACAACTAAAATAATAAAACAATGGTCATAGCAGAAAATCCAAAAGTAACTTAAAATTGACAAATACAAAATAAACTCAAAGAAGGCAGAAAGAAACAAAAACATAAACAGACAACAAATAGTATATTTATAAACCAACAGTATCATTAATCAAAAGGAAAGCAGATAACCCTTTTTGGATGCCTTGACAGATTGCTCATGGCATGTAACTTGATTACAGCTAATCATTTGTTTCTGTCCAGGATGTTTAATCTTGAAGAAGTCATAGATATATGTTTAGGATCAGTTAGAGATAAAAAGTGACAGATGAATCTAGCATCTAGTTATATAGACAGATTCTCACTGAATTTGTCTCTAGGTAGTGAAAAAAGTGAAATAATAATATTGACTTATGATTGTATCAAACATCTAGTTATGCAGACAAATTCTCACTGAACTTGTCTCTAGGTAGTGAAAAAAGTGTTGACTTGCAATTGTATCAGATATAGTAGTCCTATCCAAATAGTTTCAATGCGTCTTACATCTTCCTTTCCCACTAGAACATGGTTACTTAGTTTTTTAGATCTATTCATTTGATTTTGTGAGCTACTTAATACTCTTCTCACAATAGTGACATATTCATTGGTGAGATCAATAATGGTAACTTAAAATCAAGTGACACACAACTTTGAATGCCTACATAAACCAGGTCATTGGTTTTCTTAGTTGCAAAGAGCAGAAACAAATTCTAATTAAACTTAAGCAGTAAAATTTGATAGAAGAATTTGCCTTCTGGTAGTAGAAACAAATAACGTGAACAAAAGCAAACTAATGACTAAATTAATAATAAATAATATAATTATTTAAGTTAGTAATAACCATGAAGAAACACAGGAGTAAAGGAAAAGAAAATGACTGGGACTGTTTCAGATGATAACTTATTTAGCTTGGGTGGTCAAGGATATAAGTACTAAATGTTAAATTGAGGATGTAATTATTGAACAGAACTTTGAAGAAATAAAAGATACAGACATTTCCTCTTGGCTAGAGAATAATGTGTCAAAGACTTTATATATTTAAAAATTAGTGGATTTATGGTTGTAAATAAGCATTTCCCTGAATATAAAATGAAGTCACATTTTCATTTGTTTCTGTGTCTAAGTTTATAAAATAAATATTCTTAGTTCCAAATTGTATACTAGATCAGTTGTAGTATTATGCCAGGCATATATGAAAATGTCCACACCCCTCTAGCCACTCCAGCATTAGAAATTAACATTTTGTTGTTATTTTAATTTTTGTCATTTTTGTGAGTGAAAATTTTTATTTTCACACATTTAAAGCTATTTGTATTTTTCATTGTAGAATCTTCTTTTTCTTATCTCTGACCCAGTGCCCTTTTAAAGGTAAATTTTATTTTACTGATGAGTTTGTTTTATATGTACACATTAAAACTTACTGCTGTTTAAATTCCCCTCATATACCCCAGTATATTTCAGTGTTGCACCAGGGAGGGCTTCCCAGTGGTCTGAGGTTTGGGTCTGCCTTAACACAACTCTAATTCTATTTTACGTTAGTCCGTGTTGCTTCTTGCTTTCCTGCCTGATTCCAAATTCTAACTCTAGGGTTACCTTCTATGATTCTATTCCAGAAGATTCCTGTATTTTGGAGACATTAATCAAGTCAGCTATGGCCACTGCATAGAATCAGGTGATGCTATGTGTGAGGAGTGGCCTGTTTAGAGCCCCTTTCTGCTGGTTGCAGCATTACTCTAGCATTAAACTATGGAGATTTACTCAATATTGTATCATCACATCTACTTTTCAACATATACTTGGAGATTAGCTGTATTTATTACATTGTGAGCTTATATATAAACACTTCTCTGAGTCCCAGTCACAAAGTTGAATTTATAGAAAACATTCTTGGGACTAGAAGTCTAAATTTGAGCCTGCATGGTTTCCTCTGAGTATGGTTAGTCACATTGTTTTTCAATATTTATTCCTTATTTATCCTATAAACAGAATTATTTTCTTTACTGGACTATCATTCAGTAGCATTCAGTAACATATCTGATGTATTGTTAGCCCACGTGCTTGTGAAATAGTGTAGTATAGTGTCTGAAAATTGATATATTTTATAAAGCCAAAGCTGCCATATAAAAATAATCTAATATTATTTATAAGACATCTATTGTGTTATATTTTAGTTTCAAAATCTATTGAGCCTAATTTTAAGAAGACCTTGTCATGATTGATACGAAATTTATTCTTAGAAAATTGTACTTACTAATTCATGTACATTTTTTTTTTTACAAAAAGAAGTTATAGCATTAAGGAAAAGTAAGGAAAAGTAAGCCATTATAATCTGGCAATATTTTAGCACCTATCTTTTAAATGTTTAACATAAAAAAACTGCTGTTGAAATCAACACGTGTTCAGCTTTTCAAAAAAGATATGAGTAATCACAAAATTGATTGCTAGATTTTTCTTCTTCATATTTTTTTCTTCTTCATCTATTGTTTCCAAAGCATGATGAGAAAAATATAATAGTATTCAGTGTAGACAAACAGTTTGTATATGGTTCAATTTTTCTCTGGATATATCTTTCTCAGATCTTAGCTTTTCTGTCTTCCTAAGTGTTTTTCCTCAGCCTCTATTTTTTTCTTGTATAGGTGCCTTCTTCATATACTTTGGTTCAAGTAAAATCACTCCAAATCTCTATTATTTCCTATCACAATATCAAATTAATTTAGTTCTTAGCATTCCATCTATGCTGTCATTTTTATTTACTTGCCAATTTATTTTTTCTTATTAGAAATAGCTCAGTAAAATCACAAAATATGTCACTTACATTTACAGTAATATATAGTAACTCAGGATATACCAAAGTTTTTTCTCAAATATATGTATTACAAGCATTTCCTGTCACCCTGTGACCTGTTATTTTACTCTGATAATGGTGTGTTTAGTGAATGTAAATTCTTAGTTTTGAGGAAGTCCAGTTAATCTTTTCCTTTATAGCTAGAGGTATTTTTGGATACCCTTTTAATACATTGTCCTTACCTCAAATTAATGATAACATCATTTTATATTTTCCTCTAGAAAATTAATCGCCTTTTAGTATATGTTCAAGTCTGTAATCCATCTGAGATTAAGTTCTGTTTATGGTATGTCATAGAGGCCAAAATTCATATTCATTATCTGTTTTCATAAAAATTCTGGCTAATAAAGCATCTTAAAATTTAGTGCTTAAAACCATTTAGCATTTATTTAGTTCATGAACCTAGGGGTCAAATGGATAGTCTATCTGGTTTTTGTTGATCTCATTCGCATATCTGTAGTTGGCTGGAT